>NC_000005.10:27277517-27580548 GCF_000001405.40 Homo sapiens
AATTTAGTAAATAAACTTGGTACGGGTTCTAGGTTTTACATGTGAGACTGAAGAGTTGACAAACATATAGGCCATATTTGCAGAGTCTTCATTATAATCATTATTTAGTACAGGTAAATTATTTTGTATTTATGAATGTGTGATGTGGTGGTAACTTCTAGAGCCCAGTGTCTGGTTCCTCTCTCCTTTCAGGCACTTGAGAGTACAATGTCTAGCCCCTTTGAGTTAAGCAGGGCTTTGGAGTCCAGTTCTAGCCTTTGGGCTTTGAGTGACACATAACGTTTCCTGAAGTACTTCATTGTAGGAGAATTCTTGCCCCACTGGGACAACCCCTGAAGCCTTCTGTTGAAATGGTGCCATTTTAAGAAGGTAGAGTCTGCATTAGCTTATTATCTTCTGTCATGAGCAGAAGCCCTGCTCTGCCTTGAAAACATAATGAGCCAGACAAAAAAGTTGTTGAAATTTTGTACTAAATTTTATGACAGCATAGCCTGACCACCCTAGTTAATTGAGAATTGTGGTTAATTGGTAGCCATCTGCAGAAAATCATGCTAGATCAATAAGGTAAAATTGAATTTTAAATGAATTAATGGGAGGCCAGGTAACAGGATCGAGAAAGGGTATGAATTGTGGAAATTCCAGAGGGCTTTGCACATAGAAGCAAAAACCCTTTATAACACTAATAGTCTGAATGTACACTATATTAAAAGCAATAAAGTACTGTTTCTTTACTTCTTGAAATATTCTTTCACAATGCTTTTCATGGAGTTTGGAATAAAATATCAGACTATTTTGTCTTTCTTGGCTTCTTGAAGGTGGCAGGACTTACTTTCCCAACAAGACAAAAATTGGAATGAGGTGGAAGATTATTTAAAAGAAAATAGCAAGTTATTAGAAAGAAAGAACTGACAGATGCTTGGGGGCTGGGGGTGGGTGAAATTCAACAGAAGTCCACAGTATACAGTCTGTATTTGGAAATTGGGAATAGATGACTTCAATGTCATCAGCACAGAATGGTGCACATATGGCATTAGGCATGAACTTGCTAAATTCAATGTAAAGAGACTTTTCTAATACACCCAAAAATTTTTTCTTCAGTAGAGAATGTTGTTAAAATTTTTATGACATTTTTAAAATGGCATAAATTAGATGAGCAGAACAATAAACTACTTCCAAGACAATTTCTTTTAAAGATGACTCTAATTTTATAGGTTTATTTTCTCTTCAAGATTTCTTATTATTGCAAGCATTTGTATTTTTCATTGGTAAATTGAATAAAGTTAAAATATCCATTTTAGAATTCATGGGTGCAATAATATCAAAGTACACAGTGGTGTACTTTGATAAGGCCCAAATATTGAATGCCATCATTATTAAAATATTTTCTTGCTTGTTTTCTCCATGTTATATTTCAAGAGGGCTAGTGTTCTTGCTAATCATTATATATTGAGGTTGTTTGCCATTGTCTTATGCGTTTCTCACTATTTTTATATCCCTCGCTTTATTAAAGGTTTACAGCAGGAAAAACTGAAACACTGAAAGTAGATGGAATAAATTTTTTAAAAATATTCCCTAAGTTTCTGTTTTCAATACTTAATACTCAAAATATAATGCAAACTACCTCATAAAACTTTGAGCATACTACATCACAAATAAAGTAACTTAACTGAGTGGATTCACAGTGCTTTACAAGGTATCTAAATAGACAAGTCACTCTTTTTCACAATGAGTGTGGAGTTTTATTTTGTTCCATGGACGAGGGGACTCATATTCTAGTGTAACTTCTAAAATCATTTGGACCTTACCAAAATGTTACCTAAATTTAAAAATCTGTAAGATGAGCCCCAATTTTTCTAAATTTCCATTTATGGTTTAGAGTTATAGGTGTTATTTATTTATACTGAATTTGATTAATTATTACCCATTATGCAAACAAGATGGCAAATAATTAGAAAATTTGCACGATAGTTCTGATTCCTGAAGAAGCTGATAAATAACAAGTAAAAAGATTGTATTAGTCATAATTGGACTAATGGATGAAAATGTATTGAATATGTCTTTAAAATTACACTACTTCATTTTGTTCTGGCCTCTAGAACACTACACGAAGTTTACACTACTAATGAAAATCTACTGCCAAAAAGTGACAGCTATAGGAAAATTATATTGCAGGTTCCTTTGAAGTCTATGAAGTTTCTGAGAAATGGATCTTGTCTTACACTTACAGGTTACTTACTTAGACTTAACACCTTAGAGACATTGTTTACATTAATCTAGTATGGCTAGGCCTGTTATAAAATAGGTGCCACCTCTCTATGGTAGCTAAATGTACAATGTGCTGATTTCTATAATAATACACTTATTTTTAAAACTAGTACTTAGCTTTAATTTACATTCTATTAAATTATATTTCTTGAGAAGACAGAATATTGCACAGTTGTTATTTTTTAGCTGTCATTTTGTTCCCTACAGTCTTGGTCTTACCCATAATAATGCATTAGTTTTACAATTAATTATTACAAATAAACTCATACTTTATTGTCCATATACTGTTGCCAACAACAATAAAAGTGTTGTTTTCAGGTCTGAATTACTAGAAATCTCCTGAAATATATATTTTTAAAGTATATAGCATGTTGTTTTTCTACCAATTATGTCGTTTTTTGTTTTGTTTTGTTGTGTTTTTTTGAGACAGAGTCTTGCTCTGTCACCCAGGCCGGAGTGCAGTGGTGTGATTTCGGCTCACTGCAAGCTCTGCCTCCTGGGTTCGCATCATTCTCCTGCCTCAGCCTCCCAAGTAGCTGGGACTACAGGCACCAGCCACCACGCCCAGCTAATTTTTTGTATTTTTTGTAGAGATGGGGTTTCACCGTGTTAGCCAGGATGGTCTCGAACTCCTGACCTCCTGACCTTGTGATCCACCCACCTTGGCCTCCCAAAGTGCTGGGATTACAGGTGTGAGCCACCGCGCCCAGCCTTATCTAGTTTTAACATCTCTTACTCCCTTCAAATTTCACTTTTATCTGTCTGTGATCAGGTCAAAATTATATCTTTAGTATATGCTTGGATATTTCATATAAATGGAATCATGATACTTTCTCATTCTATTTTTTACACATCTGTTATTTGGCATTATTTATGTAGCCCTTCTGTGTAGTTATGCAGCATGCATGCACACAGGCAAACACACATTCAGACATACTCACATAGATACACATACACACAAACATAATCTAAGCCTTCATATTTCCTGAGTAAATATTTATTCCCTAAAGTTGCATATTTGGTTAACTCCTTTTTTTTTTTTAGTTTGAGACAGGGTCTCACTCTGTTGCCCAGGATGGAGTACAGTGGCACAATCATAGCTTTCTTTAACCTCTAACTTTTTTGGGCTCAAGTGATCCTCCCACCTCAACCTTCAGAGTAGCTATGACTACAAGCGCAGGCCACCAAGCCTGGATAATTTAACAGAAAATTTATTTTTTGTTGATACAGGATCTCTCCCTGTGGTGCCTAGGTTGGTTTAAAACTCTTGGCCTCAAGCGATCCTCCCACCTTGAATTCCCAAAGCAAGGTAAGACTTTTTTCTTATATAATAGGCAAAGTTGGGCAATATAGCCAGTGATTTGGCTGAAATAGACTTTCCAACCGTGTCCTAGTAAGTTTTCAAAAAATATATAACAACTTCCAACCAAACATGCTCAAATTGTATTGCATTTTATACTCTGTGAAAGCTTGTCACTATCACCTTAATGTGATTTTTTTCTGTATATAGTGAAAGAGTAATCAGATGTTTTAAAAGTTCAGTTATGTGTTTACTATTTCCCCATTGAACAAAGTGTTCCTTATTCCTTAGATTAATTTATATTTAGTCTCACCACTATGACTACTTAGCGTCTCATCCTCTCTGTTGAAATACTTCAATTCAACAAATATTGAATGAGTAGGCTTACTATGAAAAACAATTACTATTCTAGGTGTTAGTATGCTGGACAATAAATATACATATAAATGTATGCAGAGAGGGTATATATGCTGTGTAAATAAATAGAGCAAATTAAGGGGTATTTGAAAGGCAGATATCTTGTTGGGTAAAATTTCAATTGAAGTGGTCAGAGTTGGACTTAGTGAAAAGGTAGAACCTGAATAAGAACTTGATGTGAGAGCCACTAGTAAAGCAGTATTTTTCTATAGCAAATTTGATAAAATTTGATAATGTTATTTACCTTAATATCCCAAGACTTTTATGATACATTTCAAATTATTTTGACTAGTGCAAAAACATTATTTATGACCAGGTTCATGGTAGCACATCTTTTGCCATTTCTGTGCAATGCCTCTATTGACTGCTACTTGGATGTCAAATGTTATTGTAAACCTCTGTCCCTGGCTAGAAGTTTTCTCATTTGTTCAGGAGTATGCTCCACTCTCACCAAGTCTTCATTGGGAGAACTCCTATACATCTATGAATGCGCTCAGGTCTTTGGAAAGACATCCTACATCTGACAATCTAAATTTTCCTCTGAACTATCATATGATTCAATCCAAGTCTCCATCTTGGAGCTTATTATATGGCGTAGTAATTACAAATAATTTAATCGCTTATCTTCCTCACTGAACCGTGAGTTCTTTTTGTTTGTTTGTTTGTTTTTTGACGCGGAGTCTTGCTCTGTCGCCCAGGCTGGAGTGCAGTGGCGCAATCTCGGCTCACTGCAAGCTCTACCTCCCAGGTTCACGCCGTTCTCCTGTCTCAGCCTACTGAGTAGCTGGGACTACAGGCGCCCGCCACCACGCCCGCCCGGCTAAATTTTGTATTTTTAGTAGAGACGGGGTTTCCCTGTGTTAACCAGGATGGTCTTGATCTTCTGACCTCGTGATCCACCCGCCTCGGCCTCCCAAAGTGTTGGGATTACAGGCGTGAGCCACTGGCCAAACTGAGTACTTTTAAGGCAAAGAGTAGGTTTTCATTTTCATACTTCCAGTATTTTTTCATACCTTTCTCAATAAAGCCCAATTACATTCTTTGGTATGTCTTTCACATCCAAAAACTATTTAATGTTTCCATCATATTTTATTTCCTTTACATGGTTTGACAATCATCTCGGGTATGGTACACAATACAACATTGCTGGTAGTCCCATTAACTCCCTGCATTTTACCTTATTTTTACTCACTCAAATTATTTTTCAATCAAATTTTTTTTGTAATCTGTTGACTATTAACTAGTCAATTGACTTCCAAAAAATGTCCCTTTTTATTCCAGTATTTAAAATCACACCCTCGAACTGGTCTATGTTGTCAAAATTCTATTTTTTTTCTTATCCCTACATAAGAAAACACTTACCTCAAACCCCATTAACTTGATGCATAAGTCAATTAATAAATCGATACTACTCATTCAGATGATCATCCTAATTGGGTGTCCTATGTTCTACATTTCTCTATCTACCTTTATTCCCACTATATGACAAAATATCATTACATTCTTTCCTGAACTCTTCTTTAGTCTTGTAGTATGGAGGATTATATTATCCATACAAAAGCTAAAGGAGGAAAAAATGTCTGGGTATCATATGGGTACATGTGTGTGCATGTTGTAGAGATTTTAAATTGAGTTTGAAGGACACACAAAATCAATCAACTCACATATGTCATTGAACAGGTCATTTATTGTACAAAATCCAAAGTCACTTGAACTGAAATCGTGTGTAGTTCTCTTTGTAATTCCAGTTATAAGCTGAGATTAATGTCTTTGTTTCCAATTAAAATCATATGTAGTTCTCTCTGTAATTCCAGTTATAAGTTCAGTTTCATGTCTTTGTTTGCAATGCCCATGGATGTTATTACTTGAATAAATATTTAGGTTTGAGTTCAACTATTATGTTACCTTGTCATCCTGCTTGAAGTATTTAATACACACACACACACACAAACACAATATTTAGAAGTATCATTATTTATCATTGCTATTTAAATTATGTCCTAAAACCAATACTTTGATTACCTTTCTGCTCTCCTCCGTCTTTCCTGTCAGGATATCAGTTTCTAGTTTGGTTATATAAGTGGTTAAAATTTATATGGACTGCTCCAAGGTGTTACATTACCATGTGGAGTTGGACCAATTGCTACTACTTCCATAATTAATATAGCAATGTGATGCAGAGTTCCTTTTTTATTCTTTTTGTAAAAGCCTATTTTGAAGAGATTTATAGTTTCATACTGGAAGTGAATTTATTTCCATAGATGCAAGAGTTCTGCTGCTGCTTTTGACAGTAAATATAGATGACTCTCATCCAACTTACTAACCAAATGCAAGCTTGCTTATATGTCATAGAGGACATTACTGTTCAAAGATGAAAGTAAAATTGATGGTTGGGTACTAAGTGATGAGGTACATAATCCACTTACCAAGAAAGATATTTAAATTTGAAACACATTAAATGGATTTTACTTCAAAGCCATCAATTGGGTATATATTAATTCAATTTTGGAGCATCACTTCTGAAACTAACAGTTTTTTTTTCAAAACAATAAGCTTTAACACTATGTTATTATATAAACAGCCAAAAGTGGGTTATTGAAGTTCTCTAAAGAGCTCTCAAAACTTGAAAAAAAAATAGCTAAACTAATTACATTCCACACCAAGTTTTATAAATAACTTTAGTTTAAAAATATCTAAAATAAATATTTATTTTCAGTTCCAAGGTTAGATACAAGGTATGAATAGAGAATTAAGATGTTCTTATCACTACAATTACTTCTACAGTCTACAGTTCTATGAAAGGAGGACTGTCTTGTAGAAAGAATTTCATAATTAATGTATTTTATTTATTTTGAAAAACAAATAGTACACTATTTATTGTATGGTTTGAGGCTGATGGATTTTATTTATGATAGAAAATACCTTGAAGTTCATACATGGCAGTGTTCTAATAAAGGTGAGAGTCTTAATAGATCAAAAACCATGAAGAAATCTTTGCCAGTCTAAAACAAGATGGCATCAGATCAAAAAAGAAAAACAAAGTTCAGGACAAAGCAGGGAATTGTCATCAAAGGTGGGAGGAATGTAAAGAAGACATCAATCCGAAGGGAGGTGAAAGTCAGGGACAAATGAATGGAAAAAGATTTGAAGTGGTATGTTAAAATAAAAATAATGTATATTTGCAGAAAGTTAGGTGAAATACACCTATAAAACAAAAAGTAAGTTGGTATAACAGGTAGATTTAAAAATGGAAATTTTATTGTAAAATAATCAATCTTTTGAATAGCAAAATGGAGAGTTTATAGGAAAAATCAGTGAACTAGTGAATGGAGGTTCAAGAATATCTCCCAAAATATAACAAAAATATAGTATAAAAATAAGTAAGCATAGGGAATAAAGGGAGAAATCTTCAAATTGTATAAAATAATTTCCAGAATAAAGTGAAGAGAGATTGTGTGGGATGTAAAATTTGGAAAATTTAGAACTGTTAAATTGTGGTTTTTCAATATTAGAGTACACTGATTTCTGAATCAGAAACTTTGTTTAACAGCAAGATCTATTTATACACATGGCATTGGGATTTCTGAACATTAGGGAAAAAGTACAAAATTCCAAAAGGTAGTAGAGAAAGAAGGAAAAAAAAGAGAAAATGGACTGAGAGAAATAAATAAAAATAGAATAGTAATATTGTCACAATATTTTCTATAAGCAACATTAGATGAAAGAGAATTTCAGAGCAATAACTACAGAATACTAAGAAAAACTCTGGTGCTGAGAATATAAAATAATATATTTAGCTCAACTCTAATTTTGTTATGAAAGTGATGAAGATATTTTCAGTCATATAATATTTAAATATTTTAGGCATTAGGCTTATAACATAAGAGCTATAAATATTTACTTCTACAAAAATTATGGATTTTTAGGCAGTGGGATACAGAAAGCAGTGGAAAACAGACATCAGTGTATCTTTATGTTTGATCAATAAAAAAGTAAAGTTTATTATAACTGTATAGTTAAAAGTGCAGGTGTTAGAACGATGATAGTTGTTGAGTATAGTCTTAGTAAAACAGATTAAGAAGCTTAATAGGGATGTATAGTTGACACTATACTTTTTTAAAAAAAAAAAGCTAAACACAAAATTATAATGTTAAAGGGAACCACTAAAGAAATATGAATAGAAGATATTATTCTCCAACTAATAGAGCTAAAAAGTAACAAACAAATGACTAAATAAAACAATCAAACAAACAAACAAAAAAAGCAGTGTATGAGACAAATAAATGCAAGGGAAATTGAAGAAGTAGAAAAATATTATAAATAAAAATCAGATAATTACAATAGTAATGATAACCATAATAATTCAAAGTATAAGAAATAACATGTATTCTATACAAAAGAGAAAAATTTAAAATGGTATAGGAATGTGAGAATAAAAATCACAGAATAAATAAATAAAGATAAAGGAGAGAACTGACAAATAAACAATCATGTAACAGGCAACATCCTATCTTGTGAAAGAAATGGAAAAGATGCAAGAATGTTGATAAAAAGAATAATTCACCAAGATGACATAGCAGTCACAAGTTTGTATTTACCCAATATAATAGCTTTACATATGTAATAGAAAGGGCCAAAAAATTAAAATATTTGTTGAAGACTGATATTATACCCCCAGAAATCAAGATATAAGGTGGAAAAAAAGAGTATGCAAGGATTTAAATACTGCAATTATGAAAATAAGCCAAAGAGCTGTAATAAAGAGCTGTAATACTGTATATCCAGTAAAAAGAGATTTAATATTTTTTCAAGCAAAAATCATGATTTACCATATAATTATTTATATTTTCATAAATAAATCACTATAAACTTTCAAAAAAATCTATAATGAAAACCATGTTTATTCTAGAAAATAATCATTTTTTAACTTCTATGATAAAATTAATTGAGGAAATAATAAAACACTTTCCCTAAGCCCATATAAAACTATTTCTGAATAATTCTTTATTAGATGAAACATTAAAACTAAATGAACATAGCTTTTCACTGAAATGATCACAAATGATAATTACATTAACATAAATAAAATATAAAGTATAAAATGTTACAGAATAAACAGAAATTTAATAACAGAAATAGTTCATCAAATAAACAAATCTAAAAGAGAGGGACCATAATTAGAGTAAATTAAATTAAAAATAAGACAGTAATATGAAAATATAGATTCAAATATGCATATTTATGTGACTAAAATGGAAAAATTTTCTAAAGCTTATCAAAAACCAAAATTGGCTCCAGGAATTATACAAAAATCTTAATAAACCAAAAATAAATGGAAATACTTAAGAATGAGGAATGTGGCTGTTGTAAAAATTATTCAAAGCATAGAAAACATGACAAGCTACCTAATCTAATGCATTTGAACATGCTTATATAACTCAATTACCAAAATGAGACAAGGTCAAACCAAGAAAATTTATACACAGATACACACACACACCCACTCATACACTTTCACTAATTTAATATCACATAGTATTTCCTAACAAGCAATCACAATACGTCAATGACAAAAAGCAATAAACCTTTATTTCCAATAAATCTGTGAGTTGGCTGGTCAATTCTTCTGAACTGGCACAGGTTTGCTAAGCTCAGCTGGGCTTGTTCAATTAGTTGATGGGGCTGGCTTGTCAAGATAGCCTTACCTAAAGGGGCTTGGACACTACAGGTGGACTCAAATTCCAGCAGACTAGTTCAGGCATGTCCCTGTATTAATCTGCTTTTATGCTGCTGATAAAGACATACCCAAGACTGGGCAATTTACAAAAGAAAGAGGTTTAATGGACTCACAGTTCCACATGCCTGAGGAAGCCTCACAGTCATGGTGGAAGGGGAAAGGCACATCTCACATGGTGGCAGACAACAGAAGAGAGCTTGTGAAAGGAAACTCCCCTTTTTAAAACCATCAGATCTTGTAATATTTATTCACTATCACAAGAACAGCACAGGGAAGACCTGCCCCCATGATTCAATTACCTCTCACCAGGTCCCTCCTACAACATGTGGGAATTGTGGGAGCTAAAATTCAAGATGAGATTTGGGTGGGGACACAGCCAAACCATATCAGTCTCCATGGTGAAAATCATAATGGGAAGGAAAAAAAAAGATAGCATTACCATAGCACTAAAAGTGTTATTTCTAGGACAAAACTTAATTGGTAAATTTTTTGATGTATTTTAATAAGAAGCAGATAGGATTTCTTTATGATGTTAATGCAAGTTGTCAGGAAAAAAATGAATCGAAGTTGAATCTCAAGTTTTGGCTTCAGAAAACAGATATTGACAAAATTTGTAGAAGAGTAGGAGAAAAACAGCTTTGGTGATTTGGTGGTGATGGCAAAAATAAGATTTCTTTTTCACATATGTTAAGTGAATATATCAATAAGCCAGTTCATTAAATGAGTCTAGAAATCAAAGTTAATCCTGAATGAATTTATGTGAGAATCACTGTATTTCCATATTAACTACAAACTAAAAATTAAATAAAAGGTCAATGTTTTGGTCAGTTTCTTTAGATTTGTAAAATAAGAAATTTGTAAAAATTTAACGGGTAAAAGGAAGTGTCACTACATCCTTATTATCATATTTTTGGAGATAAAAATAATAACTGTACACTGCAGATAAGAATATGGGTGGAAAATAACTACAAAATTATATTAACACAAAAATTATTATTCCAACTGAGTTCAATTGAATTGGATCTCTATAATATTGATATAAGAATTCATATTTATTGAAACCTTGAAACATAAAGAATCTTAGCAAAAAGCAAGGGTTTTATTTTATTTTATTTTATTTTATTTTATTTTATTTTATTTTATTTTATTTTTTGAGACACAGTCTTGCTCTGTTGTCCAGGCTGGAGTACTGTGGTGTGATCTCGGCTCACTGCAACCTCCACCTCCCAGGTTCAAGTGATTCTCCTACCTGAGTTTCTCGAGTACCTGGGACTACAGGCGTGCACCACCATGCCCAGTTAAGTTATGTATTTTTTAGTAGAGGCGGGGTTTCACTATATGTTACCCAGGCTGGTCTCAAAACTCCTGACCTCAGGTGATCTGCCCACCTCAGCATCCCAAAGTGCTGGGATTACAGGCATGAGCCATCATACGTAGCCAAGTGTTGGTTTTTATAGAAAGCTTAAGTGCTGGTATAGCCTAGAATTAATACGGTAAACACAAATAATACTATACCTGAAACAATCAATGCATAAACAGCATTAAGTGGCATCCTTAGACAACTAAAAATAAGATTCTGGATCATATCAACCTATGCCAGCAAAGAAGCTTAATCTTTCTTAGAGGCAGTATGGTATACCAGGAAAAATAACTACTGTGTAGAGATATAAAACAGTGACATTTTCAAACTTGGGCTCCACAACTTTGAGCATGTTACTGAATTTTTCTGAACATCAATTAATGCATGCACACGTCTAACAGTGGGAAAAACAATAGCTGTTTAACCTGCTAATGTTGGATTTTTTCAGTCGCTTATGTTTTAATCTTCTACATGTTAATGTAAAAGCTGCTAGAAAAAGTTAATACACAAGAATATCTAAAAAAAGCATAAGATTCTTTCCAGTTAGAATTAGAAGGCTGAAACATCTTGGAGACACCTAGCTAGACAAGAAGTTATCCAGTTATTGGGGCAACTCAATAGCAAAAGAATGTGCTTTATTTGGTCTCCTTCTGGAAACTAGACTCTGTGGGTTTGTTCTCCTGTTTTGCAAGAATGAAGTAGAATACTGAATACAGAAAATACTAAGGAAAAAAATTTAAAACTATTCTGTAACTTTATCCATAAGGGATATAGACGTAACTGATTCACAAAATGTACGAAGGTTACTCTAAACCAATGAGAGCTGTAATCAAGAAACCATTTCCAGGTATCTGCAGCTGGGAAGACACAATAATCTTTCCACCATGTTTATGTAAATAAAATATAATCACTATCCGTGGGAAGTGAAAAACTGTTTGGGGGAGGAAGTAGACTAAATTATATTTTGAAGAAACACATGGGCATATTTTTTTACTGATTTATTGCCACTATACAGATGGTCTGAGATGAATCATGGCAAAAAAAAAATTATAGAATATCCTTGAAGTTTCAGCTATTTTTTTTCCATTTTGATAATTAATTGTTCATGTCCTTCATGAAAAATAAATACAAAAATTCAAAAAAATTTCCATCAATAGCATTAAAATCTTTATAATATTGTTATATTTGTTTCAATTGCCCTTGTCTGAAAGTCAAGGTGAATAAAAATAAAACATACTTAATAAACAAAATTCAAAATTGGCATTTTTAACTATTGTAGAAAGAATATTTCAAAGGAAATAATAATAAATAACTATATTCACAATATTAAATAAATGATAACTATATATGAACACATAGGTGTATATACATATATAAGCATTTATATTTGGTGTATATGTACACAGGTACAGTATATACAGTATGTACATATATAAAATTTCCAACTATATATAAAGTGAGAGCAATGTATTAGCTTTTTTTTTTTGGTTGAGGGAGGGGGTGTAATAATGTTGGTACTATTATTAGGGTTTTCTTTTCAAGAAAATAAAATCTAAGAATAATGTAAATTACTAAGATAACAGAAATATTTAACTGTATAGGTTATTCTAAACATTTTTTTCTGAAACTGAGGCAGAAGAATAGGGCCTGGAGGTGGGGAACATAAGGCTGATCCATGCTGACTTTCTAGAACTAAATCAAATGAAAGCACTTCAGCAATGACAAGAATGTGAATGGCTTTGTAACTTCACATTCATCCTCTCTATTTACGTAGACCACACACACCAAGTAACATCTTCTTTATTTACACTTTGTAACTTCACATTCATCCTCTCCATTTACCTAGATCACACACACCAAGTAATATCCTCTCCATTTACAATAGGGCACATTCTGAGTAAATGACCCTGTGACTTCACTTCATTCTCTTCATTTACATAGAATATATGCCAAGTAACCAATAGGAAATCTCTTGAGTATTGAAACCCCAGAATATTCTATAAGCAGGGCTCTTAAGACCTTATGCTCGGGACTGCTCCCACACTGTGGAGTGTACTTTCATTCTCAATAAATCCTTGCTTTTGCTTTCCTTGCTTTGTGCATTTTGTCCAATTTTTTGTTCAAGATGCCAAGAACCTGGACAACTTTTACAGGTAACAAAACTACTTATGAGAACAGAGAAATATTATATTGGTTTTTAACTATAAATATAGAATATATTAAATTCAAGTTAATAAACTCTCATATAAATAAACCAGTATGCATGTGTAAAGATGTAGTTTCTTAGATAATATTGTTTTAATATATAGAGCTGTATTGCTGAGATTCCTTTGCAAACTAGTGACTTAAAATTGATATGACTTTCATATTTTTAGAGAAAATAATTAATGGACACTATTTATCTTACTTTTTTTCTGGATACTTTCAGCTTAATAGTTTTTACATATGATCTCTTGAACTTGTCACAAAGTGATGTGTAAAATATTTTCTAATTTCTTTCTTTAATGGAATTTTATTGTCTCATGTAAGCATGCAACTTGCTTACATGAGACATGTAACACAAAATCATATAGAAAAGATGTTGTGTCATATGGTCTTGAGTGTTCTAGTCCAGGGGTTCCCAAACCCCAGGCCACAGACTGGACTCGTGTGGGTCCGTGGCCTGTTAGGAACTGGGCTGCATGGCAGGATGTAAGCAGGGGGCCAGTGAGCAAAACTTGGTCTGTATTATAGCCACTCCCCATCCCTCACCTGACTTGCCTGAGCTCCTCTGCCGTCAGATCAGCGGTGGCATTAGATAATCAGCTGCATGAACCCTATTGTGAAATGCACATGTGAAGGCACAGTTGCATGCTTCTTATGAGAATCTAATGCCTGATGATCTGCCACTGTCTCTCATCACCCCAGATGGAATAGTCTAGTTGCAGGTGTAA
Source organism: Homo sapiens (assembly GCF_000001405.40). NCBI lineage: Eukaryota > Metazoa > Chordata > Mammalia > Primates > Hominidae > Homo > Homo sapiens. Next base: position 27,291,530 of record NC_000005.10, read on the forward strand.
ACCCCAAAAATCTGAGACAGGTTCCATTTAATTTAGAAAGTTTATTTTGCCGAGGTTTAGGACACGTGTCTGTGACACAGCCTCAGGAGGTCCTGACTGTAAGGTTAGCCGAGAAAGGGCAAGAGAGAGAGAGAGACCCAAGGTCAGGTGAGTAAGTTCATTAAGCTGCAGGGCTGCTCCACCACAGTCAGAGGAGGAAGCCCTGAGCTTACAAAATGAGGGGTTTATACGGGGGAAAGAGACGCTGGGGTTGTTCATGGATTAACTTTACCACATATCGTCTCGTGACTGGCTTACGATATAGGAATTTACAAGAGGGTGTAACTTAGGTTTATCCACGTTTCTCATGACCTCCCCCATGCCACTGGAGGGCTGTAAGCAAGTCTGGTGACCTTGCTGTAGCGCCTAGATAAGGGTCCAAGAATGCAGCTGCAGAGTATTCAGGGTAAGGGTCAGTGGCATTGAGTTGGCAGAGGGTGGGGGGAGTGGGGGAGTGGGGATGTCCTGGGGCAGCTTGTCCCTAAAACTGACGACCTGTGCCCAAGATGGTCAGAGCACAGTTTGGTTTTATGCATTCCAGGGAGACAGGAAACATTAAACAACATAAGCAAGATAAACATTGGTTCATGCGGTCGCAGTGGCTCAGGCCTGTAATCCCAACACTTTGGGAGGCTGAGGTGGGCGGATCACGAGGTCAGGGGATCAAGACCATCCTGGCTAACACGGTGAAACCCCGTCTCTACTAAAAATACAAAAAAATTAGCCCGGCGTGGTGGCCGGCGCCTGTAGTCTCAGCTACTTGGGAGGCTGAGGCAGGAGAATGGAGTGAACCCGGGAGGCGGAGCTTGCAGTGAGCCGAGATCCCGCCACTGCACTCCAGCCTGGGTGACAGAGGGAGACGCCGTCTCAAAAAAAAAAAAGAATCATGATAGCTATTAAATGCAAAAGCTAGTGTCAGATCAGTTTTTTAAAACGGTTTCGCTGCGTTGTATTATGCAACTGAAACATTCACACATTGTTGATGGGAGAGGATGTTTATTTAACCATTTTTGACGACTTATCATGTGTAATAAATCCAAGCATATACCTACCCTATGCTCCAACAATTCCACTTTTACATCTTCTCACAGGAGAAATAAATGTATGCGGTGACAAAATGATATGTAGAATGATTTCCTAGCATTTACACATGATAATCTCGCCACTGCACTCCAGCCTGGGAGACGGAGCGAGACTCGGTCTCGAAACAAACAAACAAACAAAAAAACATTGGTTCAGTCTGGAAAGGCGGGACAACTGGAAGCAAAGGTGGAACAACTGGAAGCAAAGGTGGGAAGACTTGAAGCAGGGAGTGGACATCCAGGTCATAGGTCGATAAGAGAAAAACGGTTGCATTCTTTTGAGTTTCTGATTAGCCTCTCCAAAGGAGGCAATCAGATATGCATTGATCTCAGTGAGCAGAGGGGTGACTTCGAATACAATGAGAGGCAGTTTGGCCCTCAGCAGTTCCCAGCTTGACTTTTTCCTTTAGCTGAGTGATTGGGGCATCGAGATTTATTTTCCTTTCACACAGGAAAACAAGCTCAGAACTCTCATTGATTCTCAATTATGGTGAGTTGTATAATTATTTGATTATTTATTACACTGTAATAACAATAGAAATAGAGCACAATAAACCTGATGCACTTAAATCATCCTGAAATCTTCCCCCACCCAGGTCTATGGACAAATTGTCTTCCATGAAACCGGTCCCTGGTGCCAAAAAGTTTAGAGGCTGCTGTTTTCGTTGAATAAAATGACTTACTCTAACTAAATCATTTAAGGAATAATTAATTACATAAAAAGATAAAAACCTTGAAACACGTTAATTCGTTGAGAAGCCAATTTCTTGAGGAAAAATGAAGGTAATCTCAGGCCTGTAATCCCAGCACTTTGGGAGGCCGAGGTGGAAGGATCACGAGGTCAGGTGATGGAGACCATCCTGGCCAACACAGTGAAACCCCGTCTCTGCTAAAAAATACAGAAAATTAGCAGGGCATGGTGGCGGGCACCTGTAGTCCTAGCTACTCGGGAGGCTGAGGCAGGAGAATGGTGTGAACCCGGGAGGCGGAGCTTGCAGTGAGCCGAGATTGCACCACGGCACTCCAGCCTGGGTGACAGAGTGAGACTCCGTCTCAAAAAAAAAAAAAAAGAAAGAAAAAAAAAGAGAAGGTAATAGAGGTTGTGCTAGTACAGAAATACACACCTACCCACTCTATATTTTCATCCAGCTACACATAAGGAAAACACAAAGCACTTAACCAGGAAGGCTAAGTAACGTCTAAGCTTCATTTAATGAAATATACAGTTAAGCCTCTTTCACAAGAGAGAATTAAAGTTGTTTGTTGCACAGCTAATAATGACTCATGAGGGAAAAAAATAAATTTAATTAAATCAGCGATAACACTTTTGGATATTTTGAAGAGTAAACATAAGAACTATTCTTTGTCTAATTTTTCCCTCATTTTATATTATATTTTCTTTTTTGGAGTGGTAGAAACTGTGTTTTTATTGTGATATAAATAACATACAACTGACCATTTAAATCATTTTTAAGTATACAGTTCTGTGGCAATAAGTACAATCATATTGTTATGTAACCATCACGACGATCCATCTCCAGAGCTTGTTTCATCATCCCAAACTAAAATTTGCACACATTAAACATCAACTGGCCATTTGCCTCTCTCCATCCCCTGGAAACTACTGTTTTACTTCCTTCTAATGCAGCAATCTTATTTTGTATACCCAGCTTACATACATGAACACACACACAGAGGCACACACATTCCTACATAGATGGATAAATCTATTGTCTACTTGCGTCTCTGCTTTAATTTTCTATAAGCAATTCAAACACAACATATTCTAATGAACCATATTATCCATGTTGTTTACCATTTATATGTATCCCTGTCTAGGAAAAGTGCATTGACACCTAATTAGGTGTCAAACCATTGTTCTTGGTGTCTTCTGAGCTTTACACATATAGGCAGAATCTTTCTCCCTCCCCAATTAATATGTTGAAACTGTAACTTCTAGTATCTCAGAATATGACTGTTTTTGAAGGAAGGACCTTTGAAGTTGTGACTAAGTTAAAACGGACATTTAGGGTGTGGCCAAATCCTATCTGAATGGTGTCCTTATATGAAGAGGAACTTTGTACGCTAAAAGTGATGTTAGGATTGTGCATGTATACAGAGAAAAGGTCACTTGAGCACATAGCATGAATGTGGCTATCTGCAAGCCAAAGAGAGAGGCCTAAGAAGACACCAAACCAGTTGACAGCTTGATCTTGAATTTTCAGCCTCCAGGACTGTGTGAGACAATAAACTTCTGTTATTTAAGCCATATAGTCCATGGTATTTTGTTATGGCAGCCCTAACAATCTAATACAGTAGATTACTTTTATCCCTAATAATCAGCAAGTAAAGCTATTTCCTCATGCCTTTCAAAGTCATATCTTTCTGCGAAGATGCCACAGTAACCACACTATTATAGGATTACCTCACTGGACATCTGAAAAACAGGTGCCATTTATTAGCTTTCTTGCCTCTAGTATCAACCACCATTTGTCACATTGCTCCAAGAGTTATCTTTTGATGGTACATGTTTGCTCATTTTTGTCTAATCAGAATATTTCAAAGATTCTTTGTCTACTGTGAAAACTAAGTAATTTAGCATAACAGGAGAGCCTCTCATAGTTATTATAGTTAGTCAGGAGGCACATCTAACTTTGAACTTGTTTCAAATATAATCATCTGATTACACCAATTATACCAATCATCTGAGACACATATTAAAAACAGAATTCCCATGTCTCATCCCTGGAGATTCAGCTTCATTAAATCTGAGTTGTGTATTGGGAATCTGTATTATTAGCAAACTTCCCAGTTGATTTATATTATCCGTCAACTTTATAAGCCATAAAGTATAATATATTCTTGTAGTACATTTCCAAAATATGTTACTTCGCTGAGAATTATGTAACTTTACATTTCCTAAATCAAATTGGTCCTTATTGAGGAATGAAATATTTTCTTTTTTTTAAAGCAAAGATAACTTAATACACTTACCTAGATATAACATAAATATCATTAATAAGACAAAAGCAAACTACATTAAAGTTGCTAGATGTTAGAGTTGATGTGTAAATGACCCATTAAATTTGATGTGAAGGGCTGTGGTCAGTAAAGATGATCAGTTACCACAGGCACTGCATAGAAGTAAAAGTAAAAAGAGAATGGGGACTGCTCTAGACTCTATTACAATAGCAAAACAGTCTTAAAGATTAAAATATATCAAAAGCTCTTAAATGTAAGTAGTGTTTTCTCCAGTTAAAATTGAAATATGGCTGAAGAAAATGAATGTGTGTGTGCCCGTGTGTGTATGCCTTGCGTTAACATCAAACTTAGATGTTTTTCTAATTCTATAAAATCAAATGACATTCAAAATACAAACTATGTTCTGAGTAGGTATTTTCCAAGATTATAAATTGGTGAAACTAGTTTTAAATCTATTGCTGAATAATAAACTCATATTTATGAGACTGCTTATTTTATCTTATCTTTAAAAATTTAATAAAAAGAGGATAATATAGTGAAAGTTTCTCTACTAAATACTCTTCTTTCAGAAGGGAATAATGGTTGCATTTTATCTCCTTATATGAAACCTTGAAAAGTTATCCTCACACCTTAAATGTTAGAAAAGTATCAGAAAATACAACGATTATATTAATTTCTTAAAAAGTCACAGAAATCCAATTTGTTATTTAAGAAAATTAAACTGGAATGCACATCCTCAAACTACAATAAATAATAAGATACAAAAATTGTGCAAGTACAAATGGGTGTAATAATGAACATAATATTAAAGCACTGGCAGCTCTAAAACATTAAAGGTCATTATGAAAATGTATATAACAGTGAAAAGATAAGTGAATAAAATGTGTTTGTACAATTATTATGTTTTTAATGTTATTTTTAAAAACTGTTGATCAAGTTAATTAAAATTCTAAGTCATTTAGTTTGTCTTTTGCTGTTACAACAGAATGCTAGAGTGTATAGTTTATAATGAACAGAAATGTATTGGCTCACATTTCTGGAGGGTGGGAAGTGCAAGATCAAGGGGCTGGCATCTCATGAGGACAGGTTTGTTCTGTAATGACATGACAGAAGGGAAAATAGAGGGCTAGAGAGAGCAATAGGGAGCTAATCTCACCCTCTTATATTGGCAGCAACCCACCATGAGGATGTATCCCTCAGGGCCTAATCACCTTTTAAAAGTCCCACCTCATAATACTGCTATGATGACAATTAAATTTCAACATGAGTTCTGGAAGAGACAAACATTCAAACAGTTGCAGTTGCGCATATTGAAATGTCTGTACAACTGGAAAACAGGTTGTGAATATGGAATTCAAAGTTCTTGTTTAATATTTCCCTTTATTACATACATCTGGAGGCATATATTCTTAATATTTTAATTCTGGAATTGTTCAAAGTCACTTGAAGGGCTCATAAAAATGTAGATGCTCAAGTTGTATTGTTAGGTAGTGAGAGAGACATTAGCAGCTGGAGGGGCTAGCAGAAGAGAGCAGAAAGGCTGTCACTAAGACAGCCCCTGGCCCATCCAAGTTCAGCCCCAGAACTGCCCTAACTCTGCCCTTACTGATGGAGTTTGTGTTAAGGTCTGTGGCCAGCACATCCTGTAGAAGGAGAAACAAAGGTACAGATGGACATTCCCTAGTTGGCCAGTGCCCATTAACCTGAAACTGAATCTTCAAGTTGACCCTAAGCTCATCATACCCTCATTATAATAAGCTTTACACATAGTTTTGCTCCCTGAGTGGGCTTTTCTTAACGAATTATGTGTAAAAACATGCGCAGTTTAACTTTAGTTATATAACTGCCAATCAAATAACATCAAACTGTCACTCAGACACAGCCCGAATCTTAATTTCTCCCGACAAATCCCATAAAAGCACTTTGAGCTCCGTAAATTGGTGCTGATTTCACTTCGCAGAAATCAACCCGTTCTTCCTCTGAGAGTGTATTACTGTGCTTCAACAAACTTCGCTTTGAACTTACACTTTGGTGTTCATCGGCAGTTCTTTGCTCACTGTCACAAGAACAGAGATTGCTGTTCCAGAGCTCCAGCTCTGTTGATCTCCTTGATTAAAGAATCCATTAAACGCAGAATTCCCGGTAACAGTATGACTACAATTAATTAAATACAAATTTATATCTAAGTTTTCTTTAAAGAGATTCCTCACTAATTGTGAAGAACGATATTTTAAATGTTGCTTTTTTTGTACATATTACCTGCCATTTAGTGTCCATTAACCAATAATATATCTAAATGAATCTGGTATAGCAAAATAAATAACTCTCCTAATAGCAATTGAGTTGAGAGATTTTTACCACCTGCAGTAGCTAAATTTTATAAAATAGGCATTTTAAAAAATCTAGTATATTTAATATTTGTTTATTTTTTTAAAAATAAACTATTACCGTATCCTGGTAAGATGTACGTAAAGTGTCAACACAGTTGATTACTGGATGGTTTATTCTTAGAACTCTGTCCTTTTTCTAGAAAAATTTCTCATTTGAATATGATATGCAATGGGTCTCATTATTATTATGAGTATTCAAGTTTCACTCTAAGACAACAGAGTAAATTACATGTAACTATCATAAATTCGATCTTTTTAGAATTTGTGGTTATTAATAACACAACAAATCATTATTATCAGTTTGATTGCAGGTATCCAAAGCTCCCCTCTAATGGTTAAAAATATCCTTTGGTGTTTTAAACTTAAAGGCCCAGTAATCAAATAAACTATCATGGCAACTAAATAAATAAGTAAATAAAGGCCCAGGAATAAATCCTCAGTTACAGCTAGATATAGGAAACATTACCTGGGAGTTTCCATTCTTGGCTCTACCTTAGTTCTGTTTACTTTCTTTATTATCAGGAGGCCAAGTTAACCATTCATAACTCCATCCTTCTATCTTACCTTCCCATTATAGTACCACATTCCATTGTAATACTACATTGTATGATACTAACTCTCAATATAAAACAACAACAAAATACAACTTAACTTTATGTGTTCTTATTGGCCCAGCTTTGATCACATGATAATTTCTGAACTTATCATTGTAGCTGAATGGATACATGCCATAATTGGCCAAGGATGAGGCTTATATTCAAACTGCAGCAAGGATTGAAGTTATCTCTGTGTGAACGTGGATTGAGATCAAGGTGTTAGTGTAGAAAAATGCAGCCAATCTTTCTCACAGCAGAGGGAAAGATCCTAAGCAAACATACAAACAAATAAACCTCCACTTGACGTATTTAGTTTAAAGTATTATATATATACATATATATGTGTGTATATAAATATATACAGTATATACTTGTAAACACAGCCTGCAGTAAGATTTTTCCCCCCAAAATACATTATTTACTGAAGTTAGTTACTGAAATATTGAGAAAGTTTTCAATAAAAAAGGCAGATTCTAGCAAAGTTATATGTTCATGACTGACTTAGAAATTTAAAACAATTCTAATAAGCAGGCTTGAACATTGTAATATGCCACAAAAACATGAGAAGTGAATTTTTGTGAACTGCCCCTTGGGTATATTCCCCAATGTGTTCTCTGTGATTCCTTTCAGAATCTATATGCCTTCCAAGGATATTAAATGATTTCATCATAGGTTATTACCTAATGCCAACTCTTCAGTCTTCACAATTGATGAACAGCGGTCAGATAAAGTTTGTGTTTCTGAAGAGTAAGGGTGTATATTATTAAGGTTTGTTTAGTATAGTCACTTTGGGTTAACACGATTTTCCAAGATGGTCTATAAATCAAGACAGGTCAGCACATATGAAGCAATCAAAATGCGCAGTTCCTGTTTGTCTCAAACTGCTAGTCCGTGGAGTGGTAACTTTTATTTGTACCAACAGTGTCTGGGGAACGATGATTCTGGCCCGTGAATCTGTATTCCCTTACCGATCTATTTATCTAGAAGATAAATGTATTTATTTCAAAATGGGTGCCTATTGCCCATGCACAACAATCTATTCCATCCATGCTGTTATGAAAGGAGGAAATTCTCATGCCCTGCCTGCCACTGCCCCACTTCTGTGATAAGGATATGATAGGAAGAGTGTAGTGAGCAATAAGGAAAGATACAAGAGAGACCATATCTTCCTAGATTGTAGCTTGGGCCAAAGGACATCACCCTCCCTTCTGTGATCCAGCACCCTCCATCAGGTCTCTCCTCTTCACCACTGTGAAGGGCTAAGTTCTCTAACAGGATTTCTGGGATCACATTCTCTTCTATACAGAGACAACAAGTCACCAAAATGCCAATGTTGCAACATCAGTTGAATTGGGTATGACTCTGAAGCCTACTCTACTGCTATAGACTAAATATTTGCGTCCCTCCAAAATTTTTGTGTTGAAATCACAAACCCCCATGTGCTAGTATAAGGAGATGAGATATTTGGTAGGTGATTAGATCAGAAGGGGGAAGCCCTCATGAACAAGATTAGTTTACTTATTAAAAAAGATACCAAAGAGAGCTCTGTCACCCTTTCCACTATGTGAGGGCACAAAGAGAAGGCGACTGCCTATGAACCAGGAAGCCTGCCCTCACTAGATCTCAACTCTGCCGGTAACTTAATCTTGAAGTTCCCAGCCTCTGGAACTATAAGAAACAAATTTCTGTTACTTATAAGCTTCCTAGTGTGTGTTAATTTGTTCTAGCCTCCTGAATAAACTAGGACATCTACAAAAATGAATGTTGCTCAGAAAACCACATTTTCTTTTTAAGCTTCAGTTTCCATGTGGGTACCACAGAAAATAACCATGGTAATTTTTGCAAAAGATTGTTTGCAAAATGAATGATCAAATATATACATGCCCTTCAAAAATTTCCTGCATGCAGTAGGTACTCTAAGCTAGGACATTTCTGTGATGTGTAATTTATTGAATCATTGTCAATTCTTCAGTCTGCTTTAGTTAAACTACACCTTCATATTCTTAACGTGGTCTATGGCATGTGAAGTATATATCCACACCTCTTTGCACGTGGGCTTGAACATGTGACTTATTTTGGCCAACAGGATATCAGCTGGCATGAAATAAGCATACAGTTGAAATATATTTGCAAAGTTGGACTTGCTGTATTATATTTCAGCAACCTACCATGAGACGAACATGTCTCACCCTTGTCCTCAGAGTAAGATAATATAAAGCTGGTCATACAGCCCAGGTAGCTGCTGGTCCAAAAAGCAGACTGCAATCAAACTTGCAGCTTGAAACCTAGAAACTGAAGGCCAAAGACCAGAGGTTGGAGACAAGCCTAACATAGTGGATTTGAAGCCAACCTGCAGACTATTGAGTGATTTTAAGCCACTGAATTTAGGCCTCTAAATTTTGCCACATCTCTTATGGTTGAAATATAATTTCTCTCTCTCTTTATCTCTCTCTCTCTCACTCCTTCCCTTCCTCTCTCTCTCTTTCCTTCTCCCACTACTTTTATCTAATGCTTAGTTTAGCTCTTTAGTCTTTACTTGATATAACTTATCAATAAACATGCAAGTAATTATATTGTCTGAAAAGATTAGTTGCAAAGCATGCTAATTTAAATTTTAGGAAAATCATTTTGAAAAACAATAATTCAAATAATTTTTGGGGAAATACAAATTCCAAATACACACACATATGTGTGTTTTTTTACATGTATGAGTTTATATATAAAACATATAAGTATATTACAAACACACATATACAAAATTATTAAAAATATGTTTTTACTTTTTATTTGGCAAAAGAAACAGTTAACATTGAATTATTCTCAAGAGTGGTTAAAACTAAATTGGAAATTTTTTATGTGTTTGTTGGGATTTGTTTGTTTTGCATTGCTTTGGTTTTTCTTAGCAGATATCAATCCATGGCGTATGCACACACACACACACACACACACACACACACACAGACACACAAAATGCTATAATGTATAGCCTTACCAACTTGTTTTTAAATGAGAATGTCAGTTAAGGTAGTAATCATCAAATTCTAAAGTTTTTGAGAAAGTCTTGGAGTAAATATCCCTATAAAAATGCCGTGACTCTTTTTTAAAAAAAAATTATTATTATACTTTAAGTTCTAGTGTACATGTGCACAACGTGCAGGTTTGTTACATATGTATACATGTGCCATGTTGGTGTGCTACACCCATTAACTTGTCATTTACATTAGGTGTATCTCCTAATGCTATCCCTCCCCGCAACCCCTACCCCACGACAGGCCCCAGTGTGTGATGTTCCCCGCCCTGTGTCCAAGTGTTTTCTTTGTTAAATTCCCACCTATGACTGAGAACATGCGGTGTTTGGTTTTCTGTGCTTGCGATAGTTGGCTCAGAATGATGGTTTCCAGCTTCATCCACGTCCCTACAAAGGACATGAACTCATCCTTTTTTATGGATGCATAGTATTCCATGGTGTATATGTGCCACATTTTCTTAATCCAGTCGATCATTGATGGACATTTGGGTTCGTTCCAGACAGTGTGGCAATTCCTCAAGGATCTAGAGCTAGAAATACCATTTGACCCAGCCATCCCATTACTGGGTATATACCCAAAGGATTATAAATCATGCTGCTATAAAGACACATGCACACGTATGTTTATTGCAGCACTATTTACAATAGCAAAGACTTGCAGCCGTGACTTTTCTTAAAGTATCTAACCAGTGAGAAGATTTCCCTTTAATTTGGCCAGTGCACTGTAAGAGAACAGAGCTCCACTTGGGAGTTGTACTGCTCTGGTGCACATCCTGGTTGTTGGTATAATACTTCGATTTCCTCAGTTAAACAACCATAGTGCACCCTGCAAACAAATGTGAACAGTTATATCACCTCTGTTGCAGGCCATATAGTTCCCAAGAGACAAATCACACTCCTTTAAACTGTTTTGCTTTGATCCTAGGGGTTCAGAGATCAGAGAGAACTGGGGCTAGTGCTGCTATCATCTTTTCCTTCTTGGCTAATTGTAGGCCATAACTAGTCCAGGTATTAAAAACAACTGAGTGGAATGGGACTATATGTAAAGATAGTGAAGGCTTCAGTTAATTTAAGCTGATTTTCTTAGTAAACATACAGATGCTTGTGAAAGAAACTCTTTAGACATTTTATTGTACCGGATTTTCTCACAAAATTTTGTTTGTTGATTCATGTGCATGAGAATAGAAGCCATGGACTTAATTTGCTTTTGCATATTTAATTATATTAGTTTTTAAAATATTATACCGACACGCCTTATATATTAAGAAATACACAATGTTGACTATAAAAGACATACATACAAGTACATAATGGATATTCTTCAATGAAAAACTGTGTCTGGAACAAAAATTTAAGGTAATTAAGATAATGTCTTTAGACAAGCACACAAGACATTTATTTGTACAAATGGGGCTCTCCAATTGCCACAACCTGACAGATGCTCTTAAATATCATAAAGCCAAATTACTTGAAAGTGCACTGAATATTTTTAACATAATATCTTATCTTATTCAATTTTAGATTAATGTACTATACAATAAATTATAAAGTTATACAAATTATATTTTACCTAAGAATGATGCTGAGCAGAGTATTTTTTATTTCATAGAATTTCTACACATTTGGGGGTCTACAAGGAGAATAATGATCCTTTTGTGTAATTAAAATTTTGAAGAGAAAGCATTTTTTAAAAATTTTGTCTTGATATCTGCCAAAACAGATTTTCCCCCTTTGCTTTGAGTAGACACATCCTCTTACAAAACTGTGAGACCACAGGAGAGTCACCAGATTCTACAGTACTAATGACTTATTTCATCATTTAAAAAAGTGTTACCATGTGATCTCTGATACTTTATGATCTTAAAATTACACTAAGAGGTTGACAATCATACATTTTTACAACTTTATCAAACATACAAATTTACAAGAATAATTCTAGGAGGCTATTTCAAAACAGATGCCTTAAAGTATAATGTTATTTATTTGATTTATATAAAAATCAGAATATGTTACCTAGTTCAAATCTTTGGGATTAATTATGTGCATACAATTATAAAACAAGTGGCCACTTTAATAATTATGCCAGCTTAGATTATATTTACTACTGTTTTCTGTTTACCAAAGATTTTCCTAACAGTGTAGGGCTCATAGAGAGAGAGTGTGTCTTGGTGAATAAATTCTATTATAGGAGACAAGGTAATAGGAAAGATATTATTTGACCAAATGTATGCATATATGGATATTGTGTAAATATTCGTATCAATTTCTGCATAAATGTATCCATATATGCATATATTTCTAAATATCATTTCTAAGTATTATTTTGTATTTGGGAATTCTTTCTTTTTTATTAGCTGACTGTATATTAGCTAGTCTAATTTTGTTTTCTACCAAGTTTGCCCTCATCATTCAAAACATGATGCATAAACTTCCTGAATTCATTTTCTCTTGCATCATTTGATATATTATTTTGTTTCTTGGACTGTTTCAAACATCTAAAAAATGAAAGCAACCAATCACATAAAGACAACCTTCATCAACATGCCACAGTTACAGATTCTGGTGACTGATGAAGCTGGGAAAGCAAATCTAGCTTGCTCTGAATGCAAAACTGCCAGTACTCTCAGTCCTGATACTTCTACTTTTAATTTATTTTATTATTTAATCTTAATATTGGCTTTGTGTAATTCTTTGTGCTATATATACCAATACATAACCTTGTTGTGGCAGTGTGTCATTGTATTCATAGCTCATATGTAAACATGTTAAAAGTAATATGAACTCAGTGGTCTAATGGTATTCCTACCGCATCCCAAGATGGGATGCTGTATTTTGCCTACTTACAGGAGATGAGCATGGCAGAAATACTGGAATGAATGAGCAGTCTGCATAAAAAGAGTGATTAAGAGACAATATAAGATGACTTCATCTCTATGAGCTACAAACATAGGAAAAAATTTTAGAAACTATAAAAGAAAATTCAGAAAATATGAAAGAAAAAGATTTTTAATTTTTTTTGGTGAGAGCAAAAACATAGCACATGAAGATATGGAGTTGATTACATCATGTGTAGAAACAACCTTTATATAGGCCTTCTTCTTCTGCCTATTGTATGTTTCATTGTTTCTGACAATTGAACTTCTTACTATAATCAAGATTTAGTAACGTGATTTGAATCTTAACTAAGGTAAACTTTTAAGATTTAAGATGTTTTCACAATGTTTCAAGCATACAAATTGTACTTGATGAACTTATATATAATCACATTTATAAAATATTAACTTCTGCAAAATATCTAATATTTTAAGTAAATTTTCATTGAAATTACTGTAAACCAATATCTTAAAGAATTTTGAGAAATATCTTCAAATTTGTTTATATTACTTATTTCAGGAGACATAAAATATATTCAATTCACCTCTGTTTTTTTTCAAATTTTATCTTTCTAATAGATTGTGAAATGATAGCTTCTATTTCAGTTTTTGTGCAAATATTTTTAACCAGGAATTTAGCTGTTGGCTCATGGATTTCAGTAGCCAGTTCATTCATGTTGTTATCAAAAGCGTTAACAATTCATCGTATATTCAAGAGAGCAAAAGAAATTTGTTGAAAGATCCCAACAATAACAACAAAACTGTATCTAGTTTGAGGGCACCGGGATTGATTAGCTGAGCTGCACTTGCTAACTCTGGTTCTGATCTGTTGTATTTAAGGTTTCATGTTAGTAACACGTGAATTATTATTATATCTTCCTTGACTGTACATGCATATCAAATATATAATATGTAATGTCTACTCTAGTGATCAAATTTTTCAGAGACAATATATCCCAGAAGTAAATATTTCTGGAATGGTTTTAAAATATGATTATCTTGTTAGTTTTTATTCGTTTTGTATATATTTCATCATAGAGTCTCTGAATATATTCATGTCTTATTAAATTTCAAAGAAGACTTTCATCTCTGGTTTTATTTTACAAGAAAGGATGTAAAATTTATATTTGATTAATTATGTCAACTTAACTTTCATAAGCTTTTATTCAGCTCAAGAAGCCAAATTGCATCTGAAGTCTTTTTCCTACAAATGATCACGTTTGCTGACGTCTGTTTGTTTCCTCCTTTCCCCGCGTGCTGATTTTTTTCAATAAAGTGAAAAGTCCCCAGTCACTCACAGTTAAATAATTTCCTCCTAAAGTAGTCAGTATCAATCAATTATGATAAATTAAAATGGACAGGGGATAAACCAAGGATGAATGCATGGGTGAAACTGAAGAAAAAAAAAAGGCTTAAGTGGAAAAGAAGTAGGTACAAGCTGCCGAAATAAACCAATTATTATGAAAAAGACACAATCAGCATTAAAAAGTCAGTGTGATTATGTACACACACAAATGCACGTGTGCACACACACACACACAGATACATATAGTTATACTTTAAACTCCAAAATGTTTATATTTTGCTATTTTTGTTATAACTTAAAAATCAATAGGATATAAGCTTTGTTTCTTTTTCTTTCCTATAAAATATATCAACTTACTGCATCTATTTTCACTTGTTCCTAGGTCATATTCTTATGCACTTCATAAATAACCTTAGTATTTGGACTAGCCTCTTGTCTTTTTCTGATGGTTTCTTTTCAATAGGAAATCAATCATCAAAACATGTTGTACTTTTATGCAAAACATTACTATTTCCACCACCAAACATATTTTACAGTCGTGTGAACACTGTACTTTTTTCCAACATGAGAAAAATATTATTTAAAAAGTAAATCAAAATTAGTCACCTACATAATTTTTTAAATGTGTTTTACAAATCATTTTACTGTGTTTTTCAAATGATGCAGGTTTAATTGAGTGACAGAAAAGCTGAATAGAATTATAACTGATGGATTTTACACTATGAGTAGTGATAAGCATCAGTGCCAAAAGTGGGAAGCAGCTGCTAAAAGTTTGTAATTGGTTCTTGTCTTAAATTTGTTCCAACAATTGTATGAGCATATATATAGTGCTTGTTCATCACATGTACTGAATAGGTGTTGATAGCATGGCACCTATGCAGAGGCAATCTGTATAAGAAGATTGTGACACCAAATCATTTTAGCAAGTAAATAGAATACATTTTGGTGTCTAATATATTTTAAAGAGATAATTCTGTGAGTACAGGAGAGATATCTGTGATTTAGTAACAGGCTAAGGAAAACTAAGGTTTTTGTAAACATTATGCTAAAATGAGTCGTCAATGTGATGTTGCTGCACGAATGTAATTTCTATTCCTTTTAGCATTAGCTAAAATGTTTTTAGTGATGGCACTAGTTTATATTTTAGTGTTTATGTTTTTAAAAGACTAAATTTTATGTATATTTTCTGAGATAATCTTCCTCAAAATACTGTTGGGAATCATTAAACTCCTTTTAAAGATGAGTGAATTGCATCTCAGTAAGTTTATTTGTCTTGCACTTGATCTCACTAATAGTATTTTTGTCTCTTAGTTCAATTTATATCACATGCAGTGACATAAAGCTGCATTTTATTCTGCATGCCATGATTTTGGAAGGTCGCAGAGAAATGGGGAACATTCAGAGGAAAGTGACTGGGATAGTCAGGAAGACGGGAGTACAAAAAAGCTTTAAAATTTAGAAAAAAAGGTTTTTCATTTTTTTCTACCTGGACACGCAGTTCTCAGCTTTCTTGTCTCAATGCAGCTATACAACTTTGTTGCTCACTCTCTCCCTGAAGCTCTTTATTTTCCTAGTTTATTATGCCCTGCTAGCTATGTCTGTGTCTTTCTGAATATTTCTCCTCTTTCAGCTTATAGCTTCCTGTTCTGTGACCCATATGGATAAGGCCATGTGAGAAGATTCTAATGAGTTCCAAATATTGGATCTCTAAATTATCCAGAGCTTTCTTTGTCAGTAGAACAACCCTTCTTCCCTTTGTCTGAGAACATTGATCTTCCCTTTCCTGAAGAATTTGTAACAGTCTCCCTTGAAATAGTTTCCTTGCAAGGAACTGCTTTCAAAGCTTCTGGGGACACGCTTCTATCACCTCTCATTGTTCCTAGACCTATACTCAGTTACAAATCTCAGCAAGGCCCACAAGGTAAAGAGTTGCTATGCATATCAAAAAATTGCAAGATTTTGCCAATGTATACTGACCAATATCTAAAAAATGTATATGGCCACAGAGTCTAGAGATTTTGAATCATGGAGGAAGGAAAATGTTGCAGCTCCATTATATTGATTTGGATTCACTAATCTGATTCTGAATTCAATGTGTTAACTTGAATGGCTAGGGACAACTCTAAATGTTTGATTGATTGCTTGATTGAGACTTGTACCCAAAGACTTAAATAAAATTAGAATGTCAGAACTTCCTTGATGTCCTGTAGAGGAAAGCATCCAGAGGTCTTTTGTGCAAGTTGCTCCTCCACTTGGCCATAAGAACCAGGTGATGGGATTCATGATTTAAGTATAGGTGACAAATGGGGATGATTTATTGAGACTTTGGCTGACCCCTATTGAAGAATCACAGTAAAACTTTTAGGATTTTACAATAATCGCTCTTTGAAATTCAGATTTCAGTAGTAGAGAATGAATGCTTGAACTGGAGACAAAAATTTACCATGTGACCTGAGCTGCTCTCATGGAATGAGTGTGGTCTGACTCACCTGACCATAAATTTGTGCGTACTCTGCAGCATTCCATTATCAAATGGAAGTGAATACATGAGAATCCTCTCAAGCACTGCACAAAGAAACAAGTGGGTTAAGCGTGTGGCACAGGGGTTCATAGCTCCTCCTCCTCCTCTATTGCCTCCTGACTCACCTGCTATAGCCTAGTGTAGAATTCACTAGGACAAATTGACCGAAGCAATTCAATGGGGAATGGAAAATATTTTCAACAAGTAGACGATACAATATTATTTTACAACAAAATGACCCACATCTCATGCAATAACAAATATTAGCTCCAAACGGGTCATAAAGATAAAAATATAAATATTTTACAATAAAAAAGTAAGAGATATTTCTGACCTTGGATGAAGTAAAGAGTTCTTAGATACTTTGCTGAAAGCATCATCGAGAAAGAGAAACAACTGTAAACTTTCAAAAAGTTTTCATCAAATTTAAACCACGAATCTTTCAAAAAATACCAATAAGATCATGAAAAACAAGCCACAGACAGGGAGAAGCAGTTTAGAAATCATATGTCTGATTAAAAAAACTGGTATTCTAGGTAAATAAACAAATGCTACAACAAAATACAAATAAGACAACACATTTTAGTTTAGGTAAAATATATAAATAGGCTACAAAATAATATACATGAATCCTGAATAAGCACATGACATGATGCTCAACATCACTGGTTATTAGGTAAATGTAGATTAAAACCCTGGTACAGCCACTAGAATGGCTACCATAAATGACAAGCAGTACTAATTCT
Organism: Homo sapiens; assembly: GCF_000001405.40. NCBI lineage: Eukaryota > Metazoa > Chordata > Mammalia > Primates > Hominidae > Homo > Homo sapiens. Next base: position 27,309,093 of record NC_000005.10, read on the forward strand.
TAGTGAGGTTTTGTAAAACCTGGAGCCCTCGTGAATTTCTGGTGAAAATTTAAAATGGTGCACCCTTCTGGAAGATTAGTCTGTGAGTTTCTTAAAAAGTTAAACGTAAAACTTAGTATATGGCCTATCAATCACAATTCTAAGTATTTACTCAAGAAAAATAAAAACATTTTCATATAACTACTGTATATGAATGTTCAAAGAGATATTATTCATTGCTGAAAGCTGCAAATTATCCAAATGTCCATGAATCATTGAATGGATACACAAAATTTATTTATACATACGATGAAATACTATTCAATACTTAAATAGGTTACTCATACATGCTGCAACGTGAGTGAACCCCAATAAACAGGATGCTAAGTGAGAGAAGCCAGATACACAGGATGACATATTGCATGGTTCTATATATATAAATTTCCAGAAAAGGTAAAAAAAAAAAAAAATACAGACAGAGAGCAGACCATAGGTTGCCTGGTGCTTGGAGTAGGATAATTGACTACAAATAAGCATGAGGAGGTTCTTTGGGTATGCAAATGCTCGTCGACTGAACTGTGCTGATTGCTGCATAACTGTGCAAATTTGTTAAAAAGCATTCAATATTAAAGTTATAATGGGTGAATTTTAAGGTAAGTAAATTATACCTCAATGAGCTCAAAAAGGAATAGTAAATTTATAATAGACCTTATTTGCTATCATGATACTTTGTTCAGCATTTCTTCTGACCAAGCCATTTGTTTAATAGCACATGAAGTGCAGCAAGGAATAATGCCTGGGATTTACAGGTGTTTACCAGCCACAAGCTCTGGCATGAGAAAATAGTGGAATTGCCTTAAGAAAGATAAATTATAACACTGGTTGGATTGGATATGGGAACAACACACTGTAGGCCTGGGTTGTTGCACTTTCAGATGTAGATACAGCATTGTCTCTCCAATAGTCACAATTTACAGTTCCAGTAATCAAAAAAAGGGAAGGGCTCTTCTAACCATTAAGGCCATTGACCCACTAGTGTAATATATGCTTTTCCCATCCCCACAACTTCAGACTCTCTTGGTTTTCCCCCTTAAAAGAGGAAGTCTTCACTATGAGAAGCAAGAATAGTCCTATTTGCCTGATCACTTCCATCTCCTCATTTCAGTGAATCAATAGGGGTAAAGAAAGGGATTATAGACCTGGCTGCCTTCCTATCAATGAAAAATAAGATGATTGCTAAATAATGGAGGTGATAGAGAATATATACAAAATGTAAGATTCCCCTTAGAGAATCTCATAACACTGCCATGTCCTGTTATTGAAGGTGATTACCAAAGGAAAATTGAATTGATAATTAGAAAATGGTAGTTAAACGTACCAGTTGAAACTACATAGTAAGTTGCAGAAACAAAAATTATAATAGTAATCAGTGTATCTTTATGTCATATAAACATATATATACTGTATATACATATTTTGTACACCATATATATATATATATATATATATATATATATATATATATATATATAGCATTTTATCCTCTTTCATTCTCCTACCATCCAACATAAGATGCATTAATGGTAGTTAACCTTATATATCAGTATTTACATGTTAGGGATTCAAAGGAGTGCAGAAAAATGAATATCACTCAAAAGTGACTTTGCATTCTTTTTTCAGGAAGAGGTTAATTCATTTTTAGATATATAAGATATGGTTTTATCATGTAAGTGAAGAAAAGTTTATTCTTTTCTATATTTGAAGTTAAATATTATAAAATAGCTGTGTATAGATGCTGAGTTGACAAGGGGTATTTCCAGGACTGATTTTCTTTGTGTAGTTTCAGGTTGAAACTGGCCAACAGAGGAATTTTGGGTGATATCTGGAAAGCAGGAGTGAGGAAAAGTTAATATTTATGCTTTGAAGGTTAGTGGACATTACCAAGCACTGTAGCTACTTGCATTGTTACTGGTGTGCTAGTTTAACTCCTAGTCGTGAGACACACAGCCTTTTGTTCCTTCCCTCCTGGGTAGATCTCCTCCTTCAGCTTTTCAAAGTCCTGTCCAAGTGTGTGTAGCTCCATGATAAATAACAAGTGTTTATTCTGCAAGACACCTGAATCATTGAGTTTGGAGACAGAGAGGGACAGAGATGATTACCAGTTGTCTTTGTTCTCCCAAATTTCATGCTTAGTGTTTTTTTTCCCAATTGTTGTTCCAACTAATTTGTATCAACTTCAGGTTCAATGTTAGAGGCAAAGGCAACAAACTTAGGTTTATTAATAAATGTGCAAGATCGTATTTCTATAATGAATTCCTTAACCTAAACCTTTCTTTTTTGTGCTGATTGTGTGATCAAACCCTGAGGAACACACCACATATATGTCTTTCAAGAGAAACAGTGGTCATGGCAAAAGAAAATGAAAGTGTCTTCTGGTAATTCTTGAGAGGTAGAAAAAGACTAAGATTTAAAAATATAAGGAGGTCAGCTTTTACTAAATAAAAGTATTCAAAAAATGGCACCAAGGCTTCTTAATAGAGAGTAGATTTCTCTGGTGATTAGTGATGTTGAACATTTCCCTGCTAATTCACAAGGTTCAGTTGCCAAACCTTGAATTCCCCAGTGTTCATGACACACCACATTTTCCAGGGATCCTCTCAGCCTGTAAAAGAACACAGCAGAGAGACCTGTTCTAGTTCATTCTTGCCCAATGTGGGATTCCTCTAACACACATTTGACTTGGGATTTACATATTCGTCTGCCCAAGACTTCAAATCTCCTCTGTGATCTGAGGCTCTTCCTATTTAATGCTTCCTTCCCTTTCTCCTTTCATAGTTTTTGAGCTGTCTCTAAAGCCCCTCCCTGATTGCTTTTGCTCGCTCCCCTTTTATCCTTTAAGGAAATACTCTTTAATAAGTCTCTTGCTTGTCTCATTCTATTTGCCTAATTCTCAAAAGACATGAACTGACACAGGGGGATGGATGATTTAAAAGTCTGTGTAAAGATCAAAAACACCTCTCACACTTTTTTATACTATCCCTATAAAAAGAAGATTTGAATTCAGGCATTTAAACATCCTCTCCTCAGCCAAATAAAAAGCAAATAAAAATTCTAATTGGTTTCTAAATGACAAAGGAAAGGAGATCTGGTGTTTAGTGTGTTCCAGATTAATGGTTAGCTCCTTTCTAATCTCCTGATATTTAACAAAATGTTTTAATATCTTCTCACTTCTAAACATAGAAAGATAATGAAAAACTATTAGATATTTTAGTTAATCCCCAGATTCCATGTAGGTCGTCTAACCAATCGGAATGAAGCAGGACAGGTAGTCAAGAAAATGACCATGTCCTCGGGATGCAGTGACCTTGGTGAGCATAGAGCCCACATGAGAGGCCTTAGCATTCACATGGTAATTGAGCTCACTCAAACAAAGCTATCTTCAGTAGGGACTTTCCTTTCTAGAGAGCATGTGCATTTTGATCTTACCTGTCCTCAAACTGACCCGTTGCTCATTATAATAGTAAAAAATACACCCATGGCTGGAAATTTAAGATGCTAATGAGACATGCAACATGTAAACCAGCATGTACAGCTACCGCACATGTGCATCCAGAAGACTACTCATAAAATGATTCCTAGTAACACCTCTCTCCACCTCCTTATGAATAATAATGTAAAACTCTCATAAAGGGAGTTTCTCCAACAACAATCCATGCTGTTTCACTCTTACAAGCAGCCTGTCCAGAAATATCTCTCTCAGGGTGTACTATCTATTTTGCACTTAACTTACAAAATATTCTTTTCCTTTTGCAATGAATGACTCTATACTGTAATTCCTTTGCTGTGTGTCTCTTGTTTAAATTCTTTTAAACTAAGAAGACAAGAACCAATGTATCACATCAGCCATCAACATGACCGCTATGCTGTGAGGAAGCTCAGGGTAGCCACAAGGTCATACATATAATGACCTTGAGGACAGAGAGATACCTGTAAAGACTCAGCAGTTCCAGGCATCTTAACCTAGGTGCCAGCCATATAAGTCAAAACTCATCTTGTACATTCTAGCCCCAGCACGCAATACATGGAGAGAAACTGAATACCCAGGTGACAGTCAGAGTCAAGACCCTAGGCTTATCTCTGAAGCTATCACAAGCATCTCCAGCCATTGTAGATGCCTAACTGAGGACTTATGCTGATAAAAGGTAGCTGTCTCCACCATGCCCTGCCTGAATTCCTGGCCTATAAAATTATGAGCATGCTAAAATAGCTATTGTTTTATATCCTAAATTGTGGAATGATGTGTTTTGTAGCATATGCCCTTAAGAAGGAGACCAAATGAGGAATAGACTCAATGATTACCACCAACTGAAAGATTATATGTTCAGCAGAATCTTATAGGACATTTCACATCTGTCAGTGATGTTTGTATTAGTTTGTTCTCACGTTGCTAATAAAGACATACCTGAGACGGGGGTATTTATAAAGGAAAGAGGTTTAATTGACTCACAGTTCCACGTGTCTGGGGAGGCCTCAGCAAACTTACAATCATGGCAAAAGGGGAAGCAAACATTCCCTTTTTTACAAGGCAGCAGCAAGAAGTGCTGAGCAAAAGGGGGAAAAGCCTCTTACAAAACCATCAGATCTTGTGAGAAGTCACTCACTTGTCACTAGATCAGCAGCACGAGAGTAACTTCCCCCATGATTCAGTTACCTCCCACCGGGTCTGTCATATGTGACACGTGGGGATTATGGGAATAATGCAAGATGAGATTTGGGTGGGAACACAGCCAAACTATATCAATGTTTTTGTTAGTTAATATTTAAGAATACTTCAACTCCTATATTAACCCAATGAAGCCTTTTTTTTAAGTGTCCTTAACTTCCATTTATCTCATATACAGATGTCTTTAATGATATCAATAAAGAACAAACTCTTAAGGGTTAAGTGAGATATCTTAACCAAAATACATATTTAATCATCAATCGTTTAATTTTAGTGGGCTTGAATATGTTTTACTTCAGTAGTACAGAAGACTGGAAATAAAAAAGCAGTCTAAAGTAAACATTCAAAGCCATGAATTACAAATTTGCATTTTAAAGCAAATATCAAAAAATGCTGAAAATTACATAGAACGAAAAGCCATTATCTACTTCCTTTTTTAAAAAATAGAAACATGTTGATCAATATCATTTAAAAACTGTGGTTCTCAGTTTCTCAAATTTGAGAAACTATTCTTAGAAAATCAAGAACCTCATACTAATATTTGTCATATTTTCTCAGAGCACTTTAAATCAGGTTAAAATGACATTAAAATAAGGCCAGAAAAGATCTTGGATGGGCGTGGTGGCTCGCGCCTGTTATCCCAGCACTTTGGGAAGCGAAGTGGGTGGATAACCTGAAGTCAGGAGTTCAAGTCCAGCCTGATCAATATGGTGAAACCCCATCTCTACCAAAAATACAAAAATTAGCCAGGCGTGGTGGTGTGCACCTGGATGTAGTCCCAGCCACTTGGGAGGCTGAAACAGGAGAATTGCTTGAACCTGGGAGGCAGAGGGTTCTGTGAGCTGAAATCATACCATGGCACTCCAGCCTGGGTGACAGAGCAAGACTCCCTCTCAAAAAAAAATATCATATTAAAAGAAAGGGAGGGAGGGGCTGCTTACAGTTTGGATTGTCATTTATTTGAAATGAAAAAAAGTATATATTTACTACATATACACATAAACATTTATATTATATAATATATTTATATAAATAATGTTATATAATAAATATATCAATATAACACACATAAATATTATATATAATAAAAATATATATTTATTATATATCTTCAATATGTCAAGTATTTTCTATGTGCCAAACATTTTAATCCTGAAAATAACCTTACAAAGTAAGTTTTATGATCCCTTTTGTTCAAATAAAGGTCAGTTATTTCAAAGACATACAGGATTCTACCCACTTTCATCAGCTTCTAAGAGGAGAATAAGTGTTTGGTGTAGATTAACTGCTTTTAAAATTTTAGAGCCCTGCTTTCTGAGGCACGATAGATTTTTTTCTGTTTTAAAAAGCTGTATTCTAGTTTTTGTCATTTTAACCATTTGCAAAGCCTTTTTCTTTTCTCTTGGGATTGCATTTCCTAGTCATTCTCAGCTGTAAACTTAATAAGGAGATTCCAGGACACAAGGGTCAGGGGTATCTTGGGGTCCCCAGGTGACTGTAAAAGACGTCAGCAACTTGTTAATAGAAAGAGAATATTAGCATCCTCTTCCAGAGTCATGACAAAGCTGCTTAGGAAGCACAACTCAAATTATTTATTGGAATAGCCACAATATCCCAAATAACTTACACTTCCATAATTGATGGAAATCAATTTTACATTTATTTCTCCTAGGGTCCAGATGCAATCTGAACCAGAAATGACTACTTAAAAAAATTTCCATACTTTTCTAGCCTTAGTTAAAATTATGATTACGTTGTAAAAATGCATAAACAAAGTTAATAAACCTTTGTCAGACACACTCTGGAATTCACTTGATATGATGTAACTAAACTGATTGAGTTAAAGTTGATTGTTGCCTCAGAATATAAGATCAGTGTTTAGCACATGTGCAAGATTTTTCAATAGTGTAGCCTGGTATTCTTAACTGATATTCTCACATATATGACTCACCCACTAAGTAGTACGAGAAAAATGAAATATGACACTGGTTAGGCTGAAACCACTCCAACTAAAAATATTTTAATGAATCTTTTGTGTAATGTAACCTCAAAGGTTTCAGAATTTTAGTTGGGGCTATTTGCTCCAATAGAGTAAAAAAGCATTGCTATTATTTCTTACGATCCTTTTCCACCTTTTCAAAGTAAAAGAACTTAGTGGACATTGAACTTATTTCAGATTCAGTGCCTGTTTTAGAGGTGAGACAATTTAAGAATCACTCCTGATTGGCTTCTCTCTGACAGAATGAAATCAGTGTTAAATGACCAGCTTACACCAAGCTGGCAGCCTCAATCTAGTGGGCCACGATGGGGACAGCATGAGTTCTTTCAGGCTGCCCTTGCCAGCTGTGAGGAAGCGTACTTCCTGTGGTTCACTGTTATTCCTGAAGCCTTTTAAGAGTGTAAATGTAGGACCACGATGAGTTGAAACCTTCTATTTGAGCGGATATCCTGGCAACTTGTCTTTACTAAATCTGGGTCAGATTTCTTCTACCTTTCAAAAGGGGCAAATTAACCAAAGATATTTTATTCTCTTCATACCATATTGTTCATACTTAGAGTGGTTTGGAGTCTCAATACTGGTCATATTTAAGCATCCTTCTCCATATGACTGGAGAGTTATTTTTATCGTACAAGATAAAATGTGCTGGGACTATTCACCCCATCTCATCTCAGTATCTACTTACTTGAAATTCCAAAATATCTCTGCCATGACTCACGCCTAACAAGAAAATAAAAAGGAGGAAGCAGGGCTGCTTCACTGATAAATTTCCACACTTCATATCTTCTTTTGCCTAGTACAATATTGATATATGCTCTAATGTACATATGCTATTCCTGGACTGTGCATATTATAATTTTTTTTTTACCCATTAGCAGGAGAAAAGAGTTACATTGAGTTTTAGAAATCAGGTAATTCCAATTATACATTATTTTGTTTGTACCATCCCAGATACATCTATAAATAGTTGTATACAGTTTTAAAAGGCACAACGTTGCTCATCTTTCAGCACGCAGATAGAACAAATTAGGAAATAAACGTAAGCGAAATTTGATTTAAGAACACTTGGAAAAAAATCCTTTCGAATACACATAGTTGATTCCAGTAATTTTCATAATCAAGTTATGTTTCTAGTGATACATTTAACATTTGAAACAGGTAATTTATTTTTATGGAAAATAATACTGAACTGAAATTCTTATATCTACATCCTTGGCTTAAAAATAGTAAAATAATACTATAGTTACCCATGAAGCTAATTCATTACTTGCTCCTTTGGGAAGTCCATATTATAATTATTGTAACAAGGTCATAGCTAAAGATTAGACTGTATCAAAATTATTTCATTAGGTTGATGCAAGAGTAATTGTGATTTTGCCATTACTTTCAACGGCAAAAACTGCAATTACTTGTGCACCAACTAATAAAAGACAGTTCACTGTTGAGTTTTCATTTTTAAAATCATTGTAATAATCACACTCTTAGAATTCCACCTATGGATGGCTTGATGGCAATTAGCAGAATTTGAATTGCCTTTGTATTTTCTTTTTCGTCAAGAAACTGACTAGAGTAGTTAATTTTAAGTGCTTTCACCTATAGACAAAGAGATAGACTAGAAGGAGATAGGAAGATAACACCAGCATTACCAGTCTTCCACCAAATAAAGGTCCACTTCCAGCTAACACATTTCATGACAAAGTCATGACTGATGATGCTATTTCACTATTTAAATCATGATAAATGATGCTCTTTTTAAAGAAACAATTCAGAAAAACAATGTGGTCATTTTGTACAGTACAATGTTTTCAGGAATCTTTACATTGCAATTTCATCACAGTGCATTAGACCACTTTGGGAGGCCAAGGCGGGTGGGTTACCTGAGCTCAGGAGTTTGAGATCAGCAAGGCCAACATGGTGAAACCCCGTCTCTACTAAAAATACAAAAAATGAGCTAGGAGTGCTGGCGGGTACCTATAATCCCAGCTACTCGGGAGGCTGAGGCATGAAAATTGCTGGAACCCGGGAGGCAGAGGTTGCAGTGAGCCGAAATTGCATCATTGCATTCCAGCCTGGGCAACAACAGCGAAACTCTGTCTCAAAAAATAAGAAACAACAAACAAACAAATAAAAAAAATCAAAGTGCATTAGACATCATTCTCATTCTTAAAAAACAATTGTGTAAAGAATTCCTAATAAAATAATTTGCATTAATTATATATAGCACTTATATTTTATATCTGTGTATCAATACCTATATCTTTAATATATACCTTTATATATGGCATGATATACATTTAAAAATTAATAGAGGCTCCAAAATATAAGAGAAACAGCTGTCTTAATTTCCTAGGGATATCATAATAAATTATTACAAACTTAGCGGCTTACAATAGCAAGAATGTATTCTCTCATAGTTCTGGAGGACCAAAGCCTGAAATCAAGGTGTTGTAAGAGTTGCTTTATTCTAGAGAATCCTTGGGCGTATCTGTTTCACGCCTTGCTCTTAGTTTTTGGTGACTGGCAGCAATTCCTAGTATTTCTTGGCTTGCGCATGTGTCATTCTAACCATTGCCTTTGTCTTCCCATGGGCTTCCTCTTTGTATATTTCTGTGTCTTCTTTTCTGACTCCTTTTAGGGTACTTTCACTGAATTTAGGGCCTACCCAAAGTTCAAGATGATCTCCTCTAGAGATCCTTAACTTAATTACATCTACAAAGATCTTATCTACAAATAAGTTCACATATACAAGCACCAGGGTTTGGGGCTTGAATATATCACATTGAGGCATCTATTCAACACACTACAATAGTGCACAGGAGGACAAAACCACTCTTTATAACAAAACCATCAAATTGTCAGGATGGACTCACAATGCTGAATATTCATGTGTAAATTCTATTTGCCTGCAAAACTGCCTACATTGTTTTAGAGCAATACCAAAGCAGACTGTACTTTTTTCCTGTATAATCCTGAATTCATTTCCAGAATTCCATAATGTTTGTGCTAGTCCATGTAAAAAAAATACCTCAAGCTGGGTAATTTATGAAGAGAATAGGTTTATATGACTCATGGTTTTGCAGGCTGTATAAGCATCACACCAGCATCTGTCCAGCTTCTGGCGAGGATTCAAGAAGCTTACAATCATGGTAGAAGGCAAAGATGGAGCCAGCGCATCACATAGTGAGAGAGGTAGCAAGAGAGAGATGCGGAGGAGATCCAAGACTTTTCAAACAATCAGATATCTTGTGTACTAATAGTGAGAACTCAGTCATCACCAAGGGAATGGCGCTAAACCATTTATGAGGGATCCACCCACATGACAAAACAATTCCCACTAGGTCCCACCTCCAACATTGGAAATGACTTTTCAACATGAAATTTGGAAGAAACAGAACATCTGAACAATATCATTGTCGCTTTTGTCATTGTTCATTATTGCCTTGTCCTTGGACAATGCTATAATATGAAATCATGTATCCCTGAAACTATGCTAAACTAAATAACCCTATAAATAATCTTTTTAAGACAATGATGTTTAAGAATATAAAGGAATATTAACTTGTCCAAGGTTGGACAATTACTAGCAATGGAACCAAGATTTAAATGAATATCTAATTGGAGTCTGAGAGTAATCACTACTCTGTACTAGGAACACTTTGTGTTTACATTTCAGTGACATAAATATTATTTTGACTACATTTTATGGCCCAAGAGATCAAAAAGTACAACAAGTACATTTTGTCAATAATTCTTTCTGCCCTAAGGGGGGAAAAGAAACATTAGGTATAATTAAAACGGCCAAATAAATTTTTATTTTCATATATGCAATCTGTCTAAAGAAACTTTTTAGTTCCATGAAACCATTTTGGATGGTGGTGGTAATACAATATGTAGGAGAAATTTATTAGGAATGTTTTAAGGAACTGATGTGACTATGCCTCCAAAAATGGTAAAATTAGGGAAAAAGACAAACATAAAAGATATAATTTGGGGGTTCGATTTGATCTCCACTACCGTAAGTCCCTGGGGACCTTTGAGGTTCACTGAACTCTAGCAGAGTTCATTGCCCTGCATTCAACTGCTATTGGCTGGCTTGCTGGGGGAGAATGGGAGAAAATAATGTAATAAGTGGTATTTGCATCTCAATTGCATGATTCTGATTTTTTGACATACCAGCTAACCTGAAAAGTATAAATTAAACAATATGTAATGTAATATATTATTCGCTGTTAGAATGTTGTTCCAGACACTGTTCACTACATTTCATTGCATCTCATTCAGAAGGAAGCAGGATAAAAGAAAATTTCTTATTCTCATTGTACCATTGTGCCATTATCAAAAATACCTTGAGATCTATTGAACAATAAATATGTTTTTATACTATTTTTTCTTCCTTTCCTAGAACTTTAACTTCAAATTTGCAAGTTTTTCATTAATATTATCTCTGGCATCATCATTTTTAAACTGTTCATGTCTGTTTATGCTGTTTACACCAATTTGTTCACACACACATTTTTTTTTTTTTTTTTTTAACCTTAGTTTCAGTATCAGTCTTAGACCCAGGAAAGAGAAACAGGTATCCTGGATCCTGCAGTTCAAAATGCCCCACTGTGACAATTCCCCCTACTTAGAGGGGATATGACCTAAGGGGATATGAACACTCACAGCTTGCATTCCCCTTTTAATTTACATTCCACGTACCTGAAACGATGAGATTTTCTTACCAAATGATCTTAAGTTAATTTCCAGGTTACATGCAGACTTTTTCTCTGCTCTACTAAGAGAGGGTAATCCACAGAGCTAAGGGAATATGAACACCCACAGCTTGCATTCCCCTTTTAATTTACATTCCACATACTTAGAACAATGATATTTTCTTCCCAAATGATCTCAAGTTTATTTCCAGGGCACATGCGGACATTTTCCCCGATCTATGATATGCAATGTGGATTATGCTCCAATGTGTGTGCATCCTTAGACTCAATGGACCGGCAAGGGAGTCACTTATACAGAAGATTGGATGGAGAGTGAATATAATGTTTAGGTTTTTCACAGATGTTTGTGTGAAGCCCTTGCTGGTACAGGATAGTGCCAAGAGTGGCAGTAGGAGGACAAGGGTTAGCAAAGAATCTGGTGCCTAACTCTTTTTGGGCTGCCATACTTGAGAGTGGAATGTGGAGCAGTCCAAGTGTGCTAATTGAATATTTTCTTTGGTTTATAACTTTTAAATATCAGTGCATATGTAATATAGGCATTAATTTGTTCTTCTGGCTTAGTCCCCACAAATGTTAGAGAAGGGTTTGCTTATTATTGTGTGCATATTTTTATAAACTTTATTATTCTTCCATAGAATAAATAAATAAGATAGAACATTTTCTCTGAGGCTCTTCTTAGAAATAAAACCTTACAATGGATTGTTTACCATATGACAGTTTCCAAATGAATTCTACTTTGCAATCACTCATTTCCCAGTAATTAGTTGATCTCACATCTTCAAGAAGAGAAATTGTTATAAATCTATTCATGTGTCTTGTCTCTATCTAATAATCCATTTATTTATCATTGTTGTATCATCAAATGATCAGTTAATTTATAAATTTATCTAGGACAACAAAATATCTTCTTTATCTTTCTGAGATTTATATAAATTAGTAATATAACTTTAAGATTTTCTTTAATAAAAGTTTTAATCTCATCTGTATATTTTTTACACAATAAGCTGAGAACCCAACATATAGAACTAGTAAAACTTGATGGCAAATTTTAAATCACTTTTCATGCTCACTTGGAAACACTGAATTTAGTAGTTAAATGGCCTCTATCACCAAAAGATTACACTTTGAGAGTGGGTTTCCTGCAGTTTTAATGTTGTGACCAATGGAAATTTCCTACTACAAGGGTCCCTGTTTTGTCTGTTTCCAAATGGGTTTTTCTACTTTGTAGAGAAGGTGTTTTCAGAGCCATTGTTGATTTTTAATCTGGAAATATGGTTTTAAACATAGAAGGTTGCTAATTCCGACGTGTTGTTTTTTCATATGTTATAATTGAATGGTTACTCTAAACCAGAATAGTTTCATAAAATGCTCAAAGTATATTTCCAAATTGATATTCAAAATATATTTTACTGAGGAGGGATTTTCTTTAATATTTTTGCTTTGAGTGACATCACAAAATCTACCAGAAACTAGGAGTTTTAAAACCATACATTATCTAGAAAAGAATCCTATATTACTGAAAGATTCTTGAAATTTCACTTGAGAAAGAATGTTAGTTTAATATTTTTATTTGTACATAAAAAGTGGAACAAAATTTACACAAATCAGGGTTTAAGCTACCACTAATCCAAAAATCATGCCAGAAAATATAACATATATAAACATTTATTGAAAAATCAAATATAAAATTTCTTATGAGTACGATATATTTGAAAAATCAGAAAAGTCAGTAGTGTCTCTCTAAATTAATCAATGGTTGAGTTTTCATTTCTTTGCTACTGGAAGACTACTATACTATGTCTGACCAAACAGATCTTATTGATTTGAGCTCTAACAAATTGGATTCAGAGATCATTTAATATAACATCTTGTAATTCAAATAAAAGAAGCTGGCACATTAAACTTATTAAAATAGATATACATTTAAAATGAAGTAAATGTAATATTTGAAGTACATATGTGCACGTGTATATGTATATGCACACACAAATATACTCTCTCTATATATGTACATGTATTTATATATTAACAGACATTGCTATATAGCTATAGAGAAAAAACTTTAGAAAAACCACAGATTCTCACAGTTGAAAAGAACTGTGAAGGTAAGGCAATTCTATTTGTCATTAAAAGATATTATCAATATTACTAATCTAGGAAAATGCTATGAAATGTATCACTAATTAGGCAAAATTTTACTACATTTTTTACTGGGTTTTATGGAATATAAAACACTATGTATTTCAAACATTGTATGAAAAGGTCACAAGCAATCTGGCAATTTTATACATAGGCTGACTTTTAGGTCTTAGCTGTCTTAATGCAGCTGTATACAATGCACATATGAGCAGCTCTGTGAATTCATTGGTATTTATACCTCTAAATTACAAGTAATTATAGCTAGCAAAGATGTGGATAAGATTAGAATATGAGTTGTGAAGAAATTTTAGAAATAAATGAATAATTTTATATTGAGTATCGTTAGCCCATAGTTAAAGATACTTAAATATCACATTTACCAAACTGACAACCCTGGGACATAATGGCTTAGGTTAAGTACTATTTTTTTCTAACTAAAATAATGAAGGGGTTTAAGATTCGTGTTTAATGAATTATGCTGCAGCAAATTCAAAATAGAATTATCATTGAATAGTGGTTACTATACAAAATATATATAAGGGGGTCATGAACTTGCCAGAGATGAGTTTCAATTCAGTCCTTAGCTTTCAAGAAGCAAGACAGGGCCGGGCGCGGTGGCTCACGCCTGTAATCCCAGCACTTTGGGAGGCCGAGGCGGGCGGATCACGAGGTCAGGAGATCGAGACCATCCCGGCTAAAACGGTGAAACCCCGTCTCTACTAAAAATACAAAAAATTAGCCGGGCGTAGTGGCGGGCGCCTGTGGTCCCAGCTACTTGGGAGGCTGAGGCAGAAGAATGGCGTGAACCCGGGAGGCGGAGCTTGCAGTGAGCCGAGATCCCGCCACTGCACTCCAGCCTGGGCGACAGAGCGAGACTCCGTCTGAAAAAAAAAAAAAAAAAAAGAAGCAAGACAGAAGTGACCAAAGTGGTGTGTGTAACAATATACAGTGTCTATAAGACTAAGGCAAATCTACTTGCTCAGGGGAAATATGAGCAATCCCAACAAAAAAATAAATAAAATAAAATTTAAAAACCAGAAATAAGTCTCTTCAAATAAAATCTCCCTATTGCATCCTAATCATAAGTAAAATAATTGGCTGTTTCTTTCAATAGCAGTAGATTTACACAAACACCTAATTCAATAGCTTTAAATATTTGGGGAGAAATCAGAAAAAAAAAAAGAAAACATGACATGATGCAATTACTCACTTTTGTGATTGTCTGAACTATTGAACAGTAGATTTCAGATTATGTGGAAGAGCTGATAAACAGACTAGCCTTGGAGAAATGCACCACAAATAGACTTCTGTCAGAAGGGCCTCAGATGGATAGATATTGGGCAGGAGGGAATTTAAGATTGTATTCCCTGGCAAGTAATTGGAATAAAGCAATTCTATGCTGGCAGATAAATATTGACCTATATGCACTAACAGACAGTCAAGCTTGGAATAGAGTTGACCTTCTCGTATGGTAATTAAATAGTCTAGCCAAGATGTGTGCCTGAATGAAAAGCTATCTGACGCTGGTTCAGTGGGTATTGGAGTGAATGCCTGCAAGCAGGGCCAAAATCTCCTGAACATTTTTTCTAATCCACCTCATTGTACAGATGAATGGGGGACTGAGCATTCAAAGGTTTTCTATAGATACCATAATCATAACCATTTTAACTAAAAACATTTTAAGCCAAGTGTAATCATATAGCTACTACCTTGGCCACTAAAAATAAAAAATAAAACTACCCATGTGGTACTTACAATTGAAAAATATTCTTCTTATAACTTCTTATCTAATATAAGAAATTGCAGTTATTCTATTTTATTTTACCCCACTTTCCCAACTGCAAATGTTATACCAAATTATAGGTGCATACTAAATTACCACATGCTTATGTGTGATTATAAAGATTGGCAGCAGTCTTAAAAAATAAGTGCAAGCAAAAGATTTAGAGTAGTTTATTTGAAGTCCTGCTGTCTAGTAATGATAAAATAGGTGTTCAAGGTATCAGTTAAATATAGTTCTTGAGTCATCAAAATATTTTAGATGAGTATCAGATATTTATGGTTTCTCCATAGCCTCAGTACATGCAGACAATATACTTAAAAAGTCATTTAACCACTTAGGAAATATTTCTTTAAAGACAACTTTAGAGATTATCCTTCCCCCAGAGTACACCATTTACTTAACAGTAGATTCCACTAACCATCTTTTTCTGTAGTAATAAAATAAATAGCCTCTGACAGAATTAATAATAACGAAGTGACAGAGAGGGAGTAAATCAGCCTATATAGCTTATGCTCAATTCAAAATATTTATTTGGGTACACCTAGAAATATTGCTGTTAAATTTATAAGTAATAAAATTATAGAAAAATGAGAAGTCGCTAAATCTCATTCACTGAAAAAAGTATTTAAAAGGCCTTCAAAACTATAAAATATTTAAGAAATATCTTAACATGTATTTTATAGTGTACCCAGCAACTGCAGCATGTATACAGTTTCAAAGGTCACATTAAATATTTATCAAAATTGAAAATATGATTTACTGTGAACAAGACCAAAACAATATTCAAAGGGTTGAACATCTTACAGAATGTCTTCTTTAATCATGATGAAATTAAGATCAAAATTCAGTGCTAGGCAACTAAACACTACCTTTCTTAACAACCACTTAATTAAAGAGAAAATCTCAAAGAAATTTAGAAAATATGTTAAGCAAATAATAATAAAAATATAATACATGAAAGCATGTAAAAGACACAAAGCCTCATAAGTAAAAAGTTTTTGAAAATATTCATAAGATAAAAAATTCCAACAAAATAGTATAAGAAAAGAAAAACATACATAAATTTGATGAACTATATGAATCTACACATACAAGAAGTTCAACAAACTCTTACAACTCAAAAACAAAAGAAAAAAACCACCCAATTACAAAACTTGGCAAAGGATGAGACAATTCTCCATAAAAGATACATGAATGGACAACAGGCACATGGAAAGCTATTCAGTTTCAGTAGTCCTAAGAGCAAGGCAAATCAAAACCACTCCATACCCACAAGATGACCCAAGATGACCACAGTGGAAAATTGAAAAACAAAAAGGGAAATAAGAGTTAGTGCAAGTACTGAAAAACCAGAACCATCTCACATGGTTAGTGAGACTGTAAAATGGTACAGCCATTTTGTAAAACAGATTGGTTGTTCCTCAATAAAGTTAAAATAAAATTACCATATGGTCTAGCATTTCCTCTTGTAGGTAAACCCAAGCGAATTGAAAACAGTTGGTCAAACACAGACTTGCACTTGAATACTTACAGCAGCACTATTCACAATAGTTAAAAGGTAGAAACAACTCAAATGTTCACCAGCTGATGACCAGATAAACCAAATGTGCTACATCTATATGGTAGAATAACATTCAGCTCTCAAAAAGAATGAAACATATACATGCTACAATGCAGATAATCCTGAAAAACATTATGCTAAGTTAAATCTGCTAGACAAAAACTTGACATAGTGATGCTATCATTTATATAAAATATTCATAAAAGGCAAAGCCATAGACACAGAGAGCAGATTAGTGACTGCCAGAGGCTGGGGGAGGAGCAAATAGAAAGTGACTGCTGAATCGGTTTTGGTGTTTTTTTGGAATGTGATTAAAATTCCTGGAATTAGATAGTGATAATTGCTGAAAGACATTGGGAATATATTTAAAGCTGCTGAATTGTAAACTTTAAATTTCTTAAAATGGTAACTCTTATGTAATGTGTATTTCACCACAATAAGAAAAAGTCTGAATACTCCTATATTTACATTACAAATCTTCTGTCAAAGAAAATCCAGCCCCTAACAGATCCAGTGGTGAATTCTTCCAAATATTTAATGCTTCCATTGGAAAAAAGATAGAGTACTCTTTCCAACTTATATTTGAAACCAATATAACTTTGACAGAAAAAAACCACAAAGATATCCCAGGAAACTAAAATTATGAAACAATGTGCTTATATTAATGTATCTCCAACACAAGTGAAATAATATATATTTTTAAAAACACAATACCAAAAGATCAGTTTACATTTATTCCATGAAATCAAGGTGGATTTACAGGTTAAAAATCATCACATAACAACCACACAAAAGGTTAAAATGTGATTATATCAACAAGGAAAATAATATTTGATAGAGTTTAACAGACATTCATTTCAGATTAAAAAAAAACTTGGATGATGCTGGAGGCCATTATCCCTAGCAAACTAACACAGGAAGAGAAAAACAAATACCACATGTTCTCACTTAAAAGTGGGAGGTAAATGATGAGAACTCATGACCTAGAAGGGAACAACACACACTGGGGCCTTTTGGAGGGTGGAAGGTGGGAGGAGGGAGATGATCAGAAAAAATAACTAATTGGTACTAGATTTAATACCTGGGTGATGAAATAATCTGTAGAACAAACCTCCATGACACAAGTTTACCTACGTAACAAACTTGCACTTTTACCCCAAACTTAAAAGTTTTTTAAAAAAGCAAAAGAGAATAGAGGAGTACTTTTTGATTCAAATAAAGGGTTATTTACCAAAAGCCTACAGGAAACATAAGCAATGGAAAAATAAAATCTTCCTCCTGAGATCTGGAATATAACCATTTCTCCTCACAATTATACTAGAGAACTTAGCCAAGCTAATCACAAAATAACAAGAAATTGTAGGTTATAAAATGGAATAAGGAAATAAAAC
This sequence comes from Homo sapiens, assembly GCF_000001405.40. Classification (NCBI taxonomy): domain Eukaryota; kingdom Metazoa; phylum Chordata; class Mammalia; order Primates; family Hominidae; genus Homo; species Homo sapiens. Next base: position 27,327,383 of record NC_000005.10, read on the forward strand.
TGGCATTACTTGCAGAGAAAATGACTACATGTTTTGAGAACCCCAAAATCTGCAGATAAACTGTTAGAATTGACAAGGCTATTTAGCTTCCTATGAAGTTGATATACAAATATCAATTGTTTGTTAACATAAGAGCAATAAAGAAACAAAGTGAAAATTATTAAAAGGTACCATTCACAACATTATACACAAAATCAAATAATTGTAACAATGTAAGAAATCAACAGACACATACACAAAAAATAATTATTAAGATAAGGTTAAGATTTATACAGATAAATGGATATTCTGTGCTCATATATTAGAAGACTCAATAATGTAAATATGTAAATTATTGCTATATTAATGCCAGATACAAATTAAATCTAACCATGATAATAGCCTTCATATGTGTGGGGGGTGTGTGTGTGTGTGTGTGTGTGTGTGTGTATGTGTGAGAGAGAGAGAGAGAAAGAGAGAGTGAAAAGAGACAAAGAGAATTTGTGGTCTGATTTTAAAATATATATATAAAGACTTGAGAACAAAAAAACTACTTGAGCAAGAACAAATTTGGAAGAATAATATGAGATATTAAAAATTCTTATGAAACTACTATACATTTGACATCATACAGATGCAAGAATAAAAACCAATGGAATAACACAGACAATTTAGAAATATTTCCATCACGGCTGGGCGCGGTGGCTCACGCCTGTAATCCCAGCACTTTTGGAGGCCGAGGCGGGCAGATCACGAGGTAGGTCAGGAGATCGAGACCATCCAGGCTAACATGGTGAAAATCCAACTCTACTAAAAATACAAAAAATTAGCTGGGCGTGGTGGCGGGCACTTGCAGTCCCAGCTGCTCAGGAGGCTGAGGCAGGAGAATGGCGTGAGCCCAGGAGGCAGAGCTTGCAGTGAGCCGAGATGGTGTCACTGCACTCCAGCCTGGGTGACAGAGCAAAACTCTGTCTCAAAAAAAAAAAAAAATTCCATCATATATGTGCATTTTCTTTATAACAGGTAACATCATTCATACAGTCAGGGAAGAACAAGCTTTTACAATAAATGGCGTGAGATTAACAGTAAATCTAAATAAAAAAATGTGAAACTTTATCTCTACCTCATACAGTAATCCCCCTTCCGTATGTGTGGCTTCCTACTCCAGAATTTCAGTTGCCCATGATGAACCTCCATCCAAAAATATTCAATGGAAACTTCCAGAAATAAACTATTTGTAAGTTTTAAATAGCGTGCAGTTCTGGGTAGCATGATGAAATCTCATGCTGTTCCTCCCAGGATGTGAATAATCCCTTTGTCTGGTATATCCACAATTTAGATGCTCCCTGTCCATGAGTCATTTGGGAGCTGACTCAGTTGTCAGGTTGACTGTCGCAGATCATCACAGTGCTTATGTTCAAGGAACCATTATTTTCATTTTATAACGGCTTGAAAGTGCAAAATTAGAGATTCTGGCCATTTGGATATGCCAAAGAGAAAGTGAAAAATGATTTCTTTAAGTAAAAAGGTGAAAGTTCTGACTTAAGTAAAGAAAAAAGGGTATAGTTAGGTTGCTAAGACACATGGTAAGAATGAATCTTCTATTTGCAAACTTGTGAAGAAGAAAAATAAAATGTGTGCTTTGTGTATAAAGGACTCAGTACTATCCATGATTTTAGGCGTCTCATGAGGGTACTGGAATATATCCCCTGCAGGTAAGGGTGGACTACTGTACCACACATAAAATTGTATGGCTCAAGCCTGTAATCCCAGCACTTTGGGAGGCCGAGGCCAGCAGATCACGAGGTCAGGAGATCGACACCATCCTGACTAACAGGGTGAAACACCGTCTCTACTAAAAATACAAAAAAAATTAGCCAGGCACGGTGGCGGGTGCCTGCAGTTCCAGCTACTCAGGAGGCTGAGGCAGGAGAATGGCGTGAACCCGGGAGGTGGAGCTTACAGTGAACCCAGATCATGCCACCACACTCCAGCCTGGGTGACAGAGTGAGACTCTATCTCAAAAAAAAAAAAAAAAAAAAAAAAAAAAAAAAAAAAAATGAATTCAGCATCTGCTGTTTATCTAAATGTGAAAAGCAATAAACTAAAAGCTTTCAGAGGCTAATAGAAAAATACTATTACAAGTGTGTGGTAAGTCAATATTTCGTAAAATAGGAGACAAAAGTCCCTATTGTAATATAGAAATAGAACAGGAGAAATTACATTAAATTAAGACCATTTGTTAAACAAAAGGGATCATCAAGAGAGTGAAAATCCACATTTTAATATGAGAGAAGTATTCAATATACATATAACCGACAGGGTTTTCATATGCAGAAAACATAACAAAACTTCTTCAAATCACAGCAAAAACAACCAACCAATAAAAGAATAGTGGAGGAAAGAAGTTCAATGAACACTTCACAATATTTGAATAATCAAAAACGAAATGGCCACTCATCTTCATTTGTGTACTGATATGGTTTGGCTCTGTGTCCCCACCCAAATCACATCTTGAATTGTAATCCCCGTGTATCAAGCGAGGGACCTGGTGGGAAGTGAATGGATCGTGGGGCGATTTCCTCCATGCTGTTATAGTGATAGTGAGTGAGTTCCCATGAGATCTGATGGTTTAAAAGTGTGGCAGATTCCCCCTTGTTTTCCGTCTCTCTCTCATGCCGCCACATAAGACGTGTCTTGCTTTCCCTTCACCTACTGCCATGATTGTAAGTTTCCGGAGACCTCACAAGCCGTGTAGAACTGTGAGGTAATTAAACCTAATTTCTTTGTAAATTTCCTAGTCTCAAGTAGTTCTTTATAGCAGTGTGCAAATGGACTAATACAGAAAAGTGGTACTGAGAGAGTGAGGTACTGCTATGAAGATATCTGAGAATGTGAAAGCTACTTTAGACCTGAGTAACAGGCAGAGGTTGGAAGAGTTTAGAGGGCTTAAAAGAACTCAGGAAGTTGTGGGAAAGTATGGAAGTTCCTAGAGACTTGTTGAATAGATTTGACCAAAATGTTGATAATGATATGGACAATGAAGTCCAGGCAGAGGTGGTCTCAGATGGAGATGAAGAACATATTGGAAACTAGAGTAAAGATCACTCTCGCTATGCTTTAGCACAGAGGCTGGCAGCATTTTGCCCCTGCCCTAGAGATCTGTAGAACTTTGAACTTGAGAGAGATAATTTCGGATATCTGGCAGATGAAATTTCTAAGCAGCAAAGCATTGGAGATGTAACCTGGCTTTTTCTGAAAGCATAGTCATACACATTCACAAAGAAATGGTCTGAAATTGGAACTTATGTTTAAAAGAAAAGCAGAGCATAAAAGTTTGAAAAATTTGCAGGAGAAATTCAAGCCACCAGCTGCAGAAATTTGCATAGGCAAAGAGAAGCCGAATGTTAATAGACAAGACAATGGGGAAATGTCTCCAGGATGTTTCAGGCATTTTCACAGTAGCCCCTTCATCATAGCCCTGGAGGTCTAGGAGGGAAAAATGGTTTTGTGGGCTGAGCCCAGGGCCCTGCTGCTCTGTGCAGCTTTGAGACATGGAGTCCCTTGTCCCAGCCACTCCAGCTCCAGCCATGACTGAAAGGGGCCAAGGTACAGCTTGAGCCATTGCTTCAGAGGGTTCAAGCCCCAAACCTTGGCAGCTTCCACATGGTGTTGGGCTGCTGATGCACAGAAGACAGGAGTTGAGCTTTGGGAGCCTTCGCCTAGATTTCAGAGGATGTATGAAAATGTCTGGATGTCCAGACAGTAGTCTGCTGCAGGGATGGAGCCCTCATGGAGAACCTCTCCTAGAGCAATGCACAGGGGGAAATGTGGGGTTGGAGCTCCCACAGAGAATCCCCACTCGGGCACTGCCTAGTGAAGCTGTGAGAAGAGGGCTACTGTCCTCCAGACCCCAGAATGATATATCCACTGACAGCTTGCACCAAGTGCCAGGAAAAAAACTCAGGCTTTCAACACCAGCTCATGAAGGCAGCCACGAGGGCTGTACCTTCCAGAGCCACAGGGGTGGAGCATCCCAATGCCTTGTAAGCCTACCTCTTGCATCAGCATTCCTTGAATGTGAGACTTGGAGTCAAGGGAGATTATTTTGGAGCTTTATATGTAATGACTGCCCTGCTGGATTTCATACTTGCATGGGGTCTGTAGCCCCTTTGTTTTGGCCAATTTCTCCCATTTAGAATGGAAGCATGTACCCATTGCCTGTATTCCCGTTGTACCTTGAAAGTAACTAACATACTTTTGATTTTACAGGCTCATAAGTAGAAGGGACTTGCTTTGTCTCAGATGAGACTTTGGACTTGGACTTTTGGGTTAAGGCTGGAAGGATTTAAGACTTTAAGGGACTGTTGGGAATGCATAATTGTGTTTTGAAATGTGAAAATTACATGTGATTGGGAAGGGCCGTGGGAGAATAATATGGTTTGTCTCTGTGCCCCTATCCAAATTTCATCTCAAATTGTAATCCCCACATGCCGAGAGAGGGACCTGGCTGGAGATGATTAGATCATGGGGACAGTTTCCCCCATGCTGCTCTTGTGATAGTGAGTTCTCCTGAGAGCTGATTGTTTAAAAGTGTGGCACTTCCCACCTCACTCTCTGTCGCTCTTGCTTCCATGCAAGATGTGCCTTGCTTCTCCTTTGCCTTCCACCATGATTAAAAGTTTCCTGAGGCCTCCCCAGCCCTGTAGAACTGTGAGTAATTTAAACCTTTTTTTTTCTTTATGAATAACTCAAATAGTTCTTCTTTATATTTTAGTCATTCTGGTGGGAGCATTTCACCATGAATTTTTTTTTTTAATTTAGTCATGGTGAAATGCTCCTACCAGAATGACTAAAATTTAAAAAGATGGAAAGTAATAATTTTGGATGAAGAAGGAGAGCAACAGGAAATCATACACAGGAGATATCATATATTAGTAAAAACACTTTGAAAATTCTTTCCATAAAAATTTCACATAACAGAATTGTATAAAACTGCTAGATACATAATGGTATACTCTGTATGACTTCATGTATATAAATAAAATGGCAAAATTAATCTGTTTTGATGGCAATCAGAAGAGTGCTTGTTATTGGAATTTTAGGTAGTGTTTAGAGAAAGAATCATTAGTGTCTATGGTTCTGGTAATATTCTAATTTTTTATCTAGATAATAGTGACACAAGTGTGTGTATTTATTTTATGAAAATACATCAGTCTACACATATAAGTTTTATGTGCTTTTCTTAACACATATTTTAGTTTAATTAAAAGCTCCCTAAACAAATGGTAATGAAGGACAAGAAATCAAATAAGATATTTCTTGCAAACAAATTATTGCTATTTATTATAGAATACTATTTGTATTTTTTTCTCTAGGACCTAAAATGAGGTAAAAGTACAACCAAAATTATTATTATTATACAACAATAAAAATTTTAATTCACTTCCCACCTGTAATATTCTCATTCCATAATAAAAATGAAATATATAGATAAAAGTTAAGTAAAATTAGGCATATATTTTGAGTATATGGTTAACCACATTATATGTGTTTATTAAAAGGAAGGTTTTATGAATTTCCTGTTCAATTTTAGCTTTAAAAATATGATGCTAATGATGCAAATCACACTTATTAAAATGCCCTTAGAATTGTCAAAAATACATGTTGCTTCATTCTTAACTGCAGGTATATTAACGTTATCATAACTGAAATCATCCATCTTTTAGTAAACTAAAATTACCTCTGTTTTAATTATTGCATATGCAACCAACCTTTGTAGATCTCTATCTGTTCATGTTAACAGCCATGGATATATTATAGACAAGTAACTTTCTAGGGGAATTAAATATACGTTTGAAATAGGAAATTTAAATCATCCATGAAATTAAACAGTGCTTTAGGGTGGAAAAACTATTGAATTATGGATTCTATCCTCCTGTCTTAGATGCTCTGTTTAGATTTCCATGTCAAAGTAAATAATGTCTTATTCTAAAACAAAGTCTTAAGAAGTTTCTTTCTTATAAGCACTTCCCTTTAACTCACACTATCCCATCATGTAATGCCTGTGCTTTGATTGTTCTGGTAGGACTTTCTGATGCATGATTCTGCTTGCTGTCTTTGCCATATCTTGTTATGATCCTGTTGGCCTCCTAAAATTCTGTTCTATTTGATTTTTTTTTTGGCTTTCTTTTAATCCCGTATTTGTAGGTTTTTGACTGAGGAATGAAGGAAAACAGAAAGAAAAGAAAGATAGTAAAGAAGCAGAGAAGGTATTAAGAGATATCTTTTTGTGTGTGTCAATAGTGATATAAAAATAGAAACCTTGTTTTTTGCATCTGTCTTGCCCCTGAGGTAAATGTGACATTCATTTAACACTTTCTAAGGGTTCGAGTTTGTTGTAGATATTGTTTGTTTTTATTCTACTTGAATATTTTCTAGTACTAACTATAAAGAGTTGATGTAACAAACATAAACATAAAGTGGAAAATCTTGGTGGAACTACTCTGCAAGTTTCAATATGAAATAAATGCTAATAGGTAATAGAATAAAAATGGAAATAGGGCTGATTCTCCCTAGCTACTCATTAAATTTCCTTCAATCTTGTCTAGTAAGGATAAATCCACTCAATTCTTTTATTCCCCCTGTAGGCTTGTGGCTTATGCTCCAAGATCCCCAAGAATTATCTTGTGCTGTAGAACATATTAGGAAAATTGTTACTACAGATAATATTGCTTTAGTTATTTAAAAGATAGTCAGATAAAATACCTATCCTAGAAAATTTGACTTGGTTTGGTCTCAATCCTTACACATCTTTTTTTTTTTTTTTGTACGAGAAAGCTTTTGTGATATTTTTGTCAGAGTTAGGAAGAAGCTTATAAAATTCTCTTTAAATTAGAATTTTAAATACTCAAAGCATTAGTGGCATGTTTACAATCACTATTTCATAACCTATTCATGAAATTAAAGTTTATTAAGAATTTCTAATAAATCAAATGCCTATGTTGCTTTCAATCCAAGATATTCAGAGTCATAAATTAAAGCAATGACTAATTCTCCTAAACAGTTTTAAGGAAGACTATCAGGGAAGGATCTCCAGTGTCAGGGGAAGAATCTCCTAGGAGAAACAAGAAAGAATTAAAAGAATTGGTAGATATTGTTGTGACTAAATATAATGATATAAGAAAAACTATAATTATAAATAGTGTTAGTAAAAATACTATCTAAGCAAGTTCAAATTAAGAATACATACAATTGATGTATAAGTGATTTAGTAGACAAAATGTAAGAGGTGAATGTGAATATCATGAATTTAGGTTCCCAGTAGACATTCCCGAGGAGGAAGTGCAGAGTCTGAGAGGGGACACTGGTGAGAGCTGTGATGAAGTGGTAAATAGACCTCAGATTAGAGTGATGATATTTTGTTCAAAACAGTTTCAAGAGTGCTGAAAATAAAATTTGTTCATGAGGTGGTATTTTTAAGAAATACATGAGATGGCAAAAATCATACCTAAGAAAGGAAGAAATTTCTAGGTTTCATTAAATTAGGAAATACGTGATTTTAGAACTTTGAAGTTACATTTAATGATTCTGATTTGCCTTCTTTTACAAAATTGCATATGGCAAATAATCTATGTATTTAATTGATGTTGTTTAGTAATAATAGATATGAGTTACAGCAACAATAATAAAAGCTGATATGTAAAGATTAGTATACAGACTAGATTCTTTGCTTTCAGTAAGTTCACTGCCACATGGCTTTTCGAAGATCGTGTAAATTGGTTAATGAGAATTTTATAAGATAAAGTTTATGAAAGCATCTCCTATTAAGTTTAGAGTGCCATTTCTATGTATTTAGTTATATATATTTATTTTTATTATTACTGTCCTGGTCTAATGAATTGAACATGCCTCTGAAATACTAATACTGCTATAGTGGAACATTTCTCTTATAATGCAACTGTGTGGTATTTTTTTCTGCAACATTGTGTTTTTAGACTGAAAGTGCTTATAATCATACACTGTTTATTTCATTCATATATTTTTTCTCTATTTACAAATTCGGCTATGTGCCAAAAAGTTGGGTAATGGACATAGATTAGTTCCAAAAATATTACTCCTTTTGGTCATACACACATATGTGTGTACACACAAATGCACCATGTGTAAAATGGACATTTAATGATATTATCTCAAAAACTGTAAAATACATATCAGCTTTAATAATAAGATACATTAATTTCAGGCACATAATGAAGAAATTAATTTTTTTAATTAGTGTGTGTGATTATTTAATTTTCAGATATACATTATTTTCAAAAAGTGACAGTTATTCATTTTTCTAAAAATATATGTTTAAAATTATACAATTTTGAAATGAAATGTTTTTTTCTACTCACACTAAAACCAACTTCATTATTCAATATGAGACAGTAGTGTATCATTTTAACCATCTATGCACATTAGGAGAAATTATTAACCCAAGAGGCCATGTGCTATATTTGATGATGCCTTTTATTAATCTGTATTGGCTATATTTTATGTGTCTTAAATACTTCATGGCTTTAAAAGCACCTAAATGTTATTGGTGGCTCATGTATATGGTTTTATGCACTCTGAATGACTCTTAGTTTATTGGTTTTTTATTGTTACTGTAACAGGTTATAACAAACAATAGAAATTGACTATCTAAATGTTTTGGAGGTCAGACATCTAAAATGGGCCTAGCTGGGCTAAATTTAATGTCTAAAGAGGGCTGGATTTCCTCTGGAGGCTCTAGAGAAGAATCTTTTGTTCATCTTCCACATTCTAAGGGCCAATGACATTTTGTTGCTTGTGGTCCCATCCCTCATCTTCAAAGTCAAAAGCCAGGCAGTGTCCTTCTCATGCTGCCATGCCTCTGACTCTCTCAAAGTTATCTATAGCCTTATGCATTTATAAGGATCCCTGTGATTACATTGGTACGACCTAGATAATGTAAGACACAACCGAATGTAAAGGTCAGCTGATTAACAATCTTAATTCTACCTTCAAGCTTAATTCTCTTTTGATATGAGACTAACACATTTACTGGTTCTAGATTTTAAGATGTGAACATTTCGGGAGGTGAGAAAAAGCATTATTCTGCCTTCCATGTCTAACAGTGTCTAAAGGTGAATCATTAATAGTAAATATAAATAAATAATTGTCCTCCAAATTATGGCAGTGATAGTGAAATTGAAATTGTCACAATATAAAACTTCATACAATGTGAAAACAGTATATAATTTCATAACACTTTGTTATATGCTATGTATTGCATGTTTATTCTTAATGAAAACTGTTGTATAAAATTAGATTTAATCTAATGCTTTAGACTGTTGGTGGGAATTTAAGTTAGTTCAACCATTGTGGAAGAAAATGTGGTGATTCCTCAAAGACCCAGGACCAGAAATACCGTTTACCCAGCAATCCCATTACTGGGTATATACCCAAATAAATAGAAATCATTCTATTATAAAGATATATGCACAAGTATGTTCATTGCAACACTGTTCACAAGAGCAAAAACATGGAATCAACCCAAATGCCTATCAACAATAGACTGAACAAAGAAAATGTGGTACATATACACCATGGAATACTATGCAGCCATGAAAAGGAAGGAGATTATGCTTTTTGCAGGGACATGGATAGAGCTGGAAGCTATTATCCTCAGAAAACTAACACAGGAACACAAAATCAAACACTGCATATTCTCACTTATAAGTGGGAGCTGAAACTATGAGAGCACATGGACATAGGGAGGGGATAAACACACACTAGGACCTCTCAGGGGAGGGCGGGAGGTGGGGAGACCATTAGGAAAAGGAGCTAATGCATGCTCAGCTTAATTCCTAGGTGATGTGTTGACAGGTGCAGCAAACCACCATGGCACATGTTTACCTATATAACAAACCTGCACATGTATCCCAGAAACTTAAATAAAGTAAAATATTAGATTCAATCTGAATTATGGAGTTTCAGTGTCTGAGCAGGAAATGGCAGAAATTTTTGGATAAAATTTCTTATGCAAATTCATCAATGTTTCAATTTATCCATGGACTAAAGTAAATTTTATCTTTGGTTTTGAGTGCCCAATCAGAATAATATTTAAAGATTTTTAACCTGTCCTTTATTTTTATCTAGCCACATACACATGCATACATATCTAAAAAATCCTTACCATCTCTGAGTTAATCATACGCCAATGCCAATAATAAGTTCAAACATTTGACAGGATCAGGATAATTTAGTTAATGTAAAAGTATTTTTTGAGAAATAATTTGTCAGCCTATGCTCAATGAAGATAATTGAGCCCTCTACTTATTTTATAGTAAAGAGAAACTGGTTACTGAAAATTTTACAAGAATTTAAGAAGCATAGCTTAAAGGAATCATGTATGAAGAAAATATATGAAGGCATGGATTAGAAAAATCATGGAAGCAGCAGCCTCCAGGTCATGGAACTAGACTCTGAAAATCTCAGCCTGAATTAGTGCTTTTCAGAAAATAATAAAATTCTCAAGAATTTTTTAGAAAACTCCCATTAAGTATTTCAGTCTGCAGCACCAAATGAAAGGTGCTCAAATATACCCAAAGAAGTCTCTGAAATTTCAATAAGTCCTTATACCTAGCTGAAACTACCTCAGAAAATAATAGCTTTACTTCTTGTTTATCTTTCCAATTTCCCATGACTTTCTTTTCTCATTGCCAAATTCCATCCTGAAAATACAGGGATAGAAATTCTGGGAAATGGAATTTTCTTGTTTTAATGTAAAGTGACTTAAAAAGATCTGGTGATGGCCCCAGGTGATGGTACCAAGTAGACTACAGATAATCCAGAGTATGGTTATATTTTAGATATTGAGAAGGTGCTAGGAACATAAGCATCGTCAAGACAAAACTTCCCCTGCACTGAGTGTTGTTTTCCTCTCTCTCTCTCTCTCTCTCTCTCACACACACACACACACACACACACACACACACACATCACTCACTTTCCAGTGGGGAATGAGTGGATAATTAGTAATTAATAAAAGTAGAGTTATTTTATAGAGGATGAGAACACAAAGGGCCGCATAATCAATCCATTTGTGACATGTGTAGTCTAGTTGTAGGGTGATGGAAATATGTTAAGTGACTACAGTGGCTGGATATGAATTTCTAGAATATTGGTGCCTTGGAGATATCATACGGAGATCAACTTGAAAAATGCTTTAGAGTTGGCAATTTGAAGATAGGGCTCCAGTAGCAGGTTGGGTTATATGATCATTAACTGAACAAAGAGTTAGTGGTTAGAATTGTTACCTCTTCTTAACTTTTCTCAATTAAAGGAATAGGTTTTAAAAATTCATTAGGTGAGGAGAAAATCAGTCAGTAATGAATTGAAGGTCTGTAACTTGGGAAGTTTGATGGGTTGGGATGTCATTTCACAAAAGGAAAAACAGCAATAACAAGTATGAAGAAAGAGACAATTAATTGAGTTTTGTGCACAGAGTTCTTCAGGAACTGGTGAAATCTTCACCTAGGCAGATTATCAAGACAAAGTCAACAAAGGAATAATGGACTTAAACTATACTGTAGCACAAATGGACGTAACAGATGTTTACAGAAAATTCTTTCCACATAATGCAGAATTTACATGCTTCTTATCAGCACATGGAATATTATCTAAGGTAGACTGTATGATAAGCCACAAAACACATCTCAGTAAACTTAAGAGAAAAAGCATATCAAACAGCTTCTCAGACCACAGTGGAATAAAACTGGAAATCAACTTCAAAAGGAACTCTTAAAACTAACAAATACATGGAAATTAAATAATCTGATCTTGAATTATTTTGGGTTAACAAAGAAATTACGATGAAAGTTTTAAAATAATTTGAGATCAATGATAATATTGACACAGGTTATCGAAACCTCTGGGATACAGCAAAAGCAGTGCTAAGAGGAAAGTTTATAGCATCAAAAAATCTGAAAGGGCACAAATTGATAAACTGTTATACCTTAAAGAACCAGAGAAACAGAAACAAACTAAACTCAAAGCCAGCAGAATAAAAGAAATAATGATTAGAACAGAACTTAATCAAATTGAAGCAAAAATACAAAACTTAAATAAAACAAAAAGTTGGTTATTTGAAAAGATAAACAAAATTGACAAACTATTAGTTTGATTAACCAAGAAAAGAAGACAGAAAATTCAAATAAGCTAAATTAGAAATGAAACTGGAGACATTACAACCAATACTGCAGAAATACAAAAGATCATTCAAGACTACTATAAACACCTTTACACACACAAACTAGAAAACAGAGAGGAAATTGATAAATTCCTGGAAACATACAACCTTACTAGATTAAATCAGGAAGGAATATACACCCTTAACAAACAAATAACAAGCAGCAAAACTGAATCAGTAACTTAAAAAATGCCAACAAAAATAGCACAAGACCAGATGGATTCACGGTTGAATTCTGCCAGATATTCAAAGAAGAATTGGTAACTATTCTACTGAAACTATCCCAAAAAACAGTTAAAACAAATCCTCTGCAAATCATTCTATGAAGCCAGTATCACCCTAATATCAAAACCAGAATTCACAACTGAATTCTGCCAGATATTCAAAGAATAATTGGTAACTATTCTACTGAAACTATTCCAAAAGACAGAGTAAAAAACAAGTTCTCCCCAAATCATTCTATGAAGCCAGTATCACCCTAATACCAAAACCAGGAAAGGAGATAACAAAAAAAGAAAACTACAGAACAATATCTCTGATGAACATAGATGCAAAAATCCTCAACAACATACTAGCTAAATAATCCAACAACTCATCAAAAGGATAATACACCATGATCAAGTGGGTTCATCCTAGAGATGCAGGGATGGTTTAACACATGCAAGTCAATAAATATGATACATCACATAAACGGAATTAAAACAAAAACCACATGATCATCTCAATAGATGCAGGAAAAGCATTTGATAAAATCTAGCAGCCCTTTATGATAAAACCCCTCAAGAAACTAGGTAAAGAAGGGGCTTACCTCAAAATAATAAAAGTCATCTATGAAAAATTCACAGCCAAAATCATACTGAATGGGGAAAAGTTGATAGCATTCCCACTGAGAATTGGAAGAAGATAAGGATGCCCACTTTCAGCACTTCTATTTAACATAGTACTAGAAGTTGCAGCCACAGCAATCAGGCAAGAGAAAGAAATAAAGTGCAAAAAAATTGGGAAAGAGTAAGTCAAACTATCACTGTTTACTGACAATATGATTGTATAGCTAGAATATCCTAAGACTCATCCAAAAACTTCCTAGATTTGATAAAGGAAATCACTAAAGACTCAGGTTAAAAAATCAACCTATACACCAATAACAACCAAGCTGAGAAACAAGTTAATAACTCAATCTTTTTTGCAACAGCTGCAAAAAAAAAAAAAAAAGAGAAATACCTAGGAATATAGAAATATACCTAACCAAGAAGGTGAGATATCTCTTCAAGGAAAACTACAAAACACTGCTGAAAAAAAAATCATAGATTACACAAACAAATGGAAAAATAACCCCCTCTCATGGTCTCATGGATAGGAAGAATCAATATTGTAAAAATGACTATACTTCCAAAAGCAATCTACACATTCAATGAAATTCTCATTAAAACATCATCATCATTTTTCATAGAACTAGAAAAAACAGTCTTAAAATTTGTGTGGGAACAAAAAAGCACCCACATGGTCAAAGCAATTCTAAGCAAAAAGAACAAATCTGGAGGCATCACATTACCAGACTTCAAATGGTACTACAAGGCTATAGTTAACTAAAACAGCATGGTACTGGTATAAAATCAGGCACTTAGTCCAACGGAACAGAATAAAGAACCTAGCAATAAAGCCAAATACTTACAGCCAACTGCTCTTCAACAAAGTATACAAAAACATAAATTGTGGAAAGGACACCCTACTTTAGAAAATTATGCTGAAGAAAACCTGACAAGTCACTTGTAAAACAATGAAAGTGGATTCCTATCTCTTACCTTATACAAAAATCAACTGAAGATGGATCAAATAATTAAATCTAAGACCTGAAACCATAAAAAGTATAGAATATAACATCAGAAAAGCCTTTTTGGACATTGGCCAATGCAAAGAATTTATGATCAAGACTCCAAAAGCAAATGCAACAAAAACAAAAATGAGTGAGACCTAATTAAACTAAAAAGCTTCTGCACAGCAAAAGAAATAATCAGTAGAATAAACAGACAACCCACAGAGTGGGAGAAAACATTTGCAAACTATGCCTCTGACAAAGGACTAGTATCTGGAATCTGCAAGGAACTCAAACAGAACAGCAGGAAAAACTCAAATAATTTCATCAAAAAGTTGGCAAAAGATGTGAACAGACATTCCTCAAAAGAAGATATACAAACAGCTAACATACATATGAAAAAATGGTCAAAATCACTAATCATCAGGGAAGTGCAAATTAAAATTACAATGAGATACCACCTTACTCCTGCAAGAATGGCCATATTTAAAAAATGTTATAAAACATATGTTACATGTTCTATAATTTGTAAATTATATTGTAAAACACGTTATATGTTTACAATATAATGTTATATTTATAACATATAAACATGCATAATGTTTTATTATATATTTTAAAAAATAAAATTATGTATTTATATGTAATGTTCTATTAAACTGGACTCCATAAAAAAACTAGTGAGTATTCAAACTATATTCTTAATGAAGCTTTCTGACTCCAGAGACCAAGAGGACTATCAAAGGCAAATAAAAGAGAGAAAGATAAAAAAGATCTTTTCATAGCAGATGTAAGATAAACTACAAAGTTATAATTGAACTGTGATTTTAGAAAAAGGCTAGAAATATAGGACATATAACATTGTAAAAAGACAAAATATATATTTATTATGTATGAAATTTTCTACATCAAGGGTGAGATCTCAAATTTGCACAGAAAACTTGAGTTATGCATTCAGCTTTGCTTAGGAAGTTGACAATACATTCAGAAAAAGAATGTAGTTAGGCTCTCCTCTCACATCAGCCAATAAACTTCAGAAGAATTTTTTAAAAAAAGGATATAGAACTTATCAGAAACTCAAAGAATTTTTAAATATCGGTATTTTTAGCAGAATTTTTAAATAAATTTTAAGAGAAACTATTTTGTTTGATTATTTTGAATAATTGTAAATGCAACCTTTACTCTTCTAAATATTTTAGTAATATATTTATATCACAAAATTAAATATCTGGAGGATCAGTTTCTAGAATTGTTTCAGAAGCCAATTTCAGAAAATCCCTGATTTTGTGGCATTTCCTCACACCTCCTGCATCATGGTTGCTAGTTGTAGCTATCACATTCTTATTTAAAGCAACATTAAAATTTTGAAGCTACATGGTTGCTCCACTTTTCAAATGGATGCAGAAAGAGAAAGCAGTTGATCATGATTAGGGTAAGCAATTAGCAAGATCAAACTCATTAGGGAGACACAAACCTTAACATTGTAATGCAAATATAGATAACACACAGTGAACTGAGTTAAAAATCACTGAATGATAAAATAGAAAAATACACACCGAATATTTAAAAGAAAAATTAGAAATAAACAAAACTTGTAAAAAATTTCATAAACCCAGGAATATAGACAACAATAAATAAAAGCGATTTCCAAAATCTGTAAAGAAAAATTGTTATAAATTCTCATAAAAAATAAAAAGCTTGCAATCCTTGGTAAACAGAAAGTTACAACTTAAACTGGGATTAAAATCTTCACATTTTTTTCATAAGTGTGGCAAAAAATAAAACAGTTCTGATATAAAGTGCAAGAAAATGGCATTTTTATTACATGATTCATCTGGGACTGCACAGTGGTAAAAAATTGTGAAAACATTTTATATGACTTTTTAAAAATCTTAAAATTGTAATTGATTTTTCTCTTCCATCTCTCAATTCCTTGTAGAAATTGGAGAAATCTATGGTAGGAATAATAATAATAGCTAATATTTATTAAGCATTTAATCTGAACCAGAACTATTCTGAGGAATCTGCTTATACAAATTATTTGATTTCCAAAACTATACCATGAAATAATTCCTAACATTGCCTCATTTTGTGAATGAGGAAATGGCAGACATGTTAAAGCAGCTTACCTATGTTCACAGAGTTTACCAATGGCAAATAGTTCTGATTCAGAGGATCCAGGCTGCAGATTCCAAGATCTTCACCATTTCATTACTCTGTCCCTTTAATGTAAGAAAGATGTGCTAATAATGGTGTACATGCGAGAATATCATTTTGTATACATCCATACATATCTTTTTAAATAAAAAGTTGCAAACAACTTTTTTGTCTACTAAGGGAAGAATGATTACTGTTAACTTTCTTGTAGAAAATAATGGAGTTATTTTAAAGTATTAGCTAAATGAAAACCAAGAGAATAAAGGGTAAATACATAAATATTAAACGTAAAAACAAAATCACACAAGCATGCACACACGTACAGGGGAAATGAATTCACAAAATTTGGGAGCAATTTCCTTTAGAGAAAAACTAAAAGTGGTAAGATTTTCATGTTTTTGTCATTGTAATTTCATAATTTATAAAGAATTAATAGAAATTTTTAAATATAGCATTTACTGTTATAATGTTAACGAACCACCACAAGATACTGAGATGCAACTTCTTAAATATTGGGGAAAATGGGAAGAAGGCTAAGAAGTGAGAGGAAAGGAGCAGTAGCAATTGTAGTTGCTTCATATAATTATATTATTTATTCTTAAGCATGCATGTGCATTGTTTTTTATAGTATTAAAAATACCATTTGCACAGCAACGTGAAAGTATGTCACTGAACTTTACACTTAAAATAGTCAAATTACAAATTTTCGTGTGTGTATTCACTACAATTTTTTACAAAAATAAAACCAGTAAAAGCATGGTTAAAATAGTCTTGTTTTAATTAGATTTTTCCAACCATCTATCTGCATATGTGCATCAGAGCAGTCTAGAAAAAATGTTATTTAATTTTTTCTGAATTACTTATGAGCATTATGATTTTGGATATTATTTTCACATTTTGTTAGGTTGTGTTTGTCTTTCTTCTTTATGCTTTTCTATGTTCTTTGAAAAGTTTATGATGAGCATATATAATTTTGAAAATAAACTATTCGAACATTAACAAAAAAAGTAAATGAATTATCCCAAATGCTAACCTAAAAAAAATAGACCAAGTGCAAAAATAAAATAATTCTCAAAAAAAGAAAAATATATTTTAAATGTTGCTTTTTTTGTTCATGGCATTATTTCTAAACCTAGAATGAGTTTTTTTTTTCTCCTCCCAGATAATTGAAGATAAAAGATGCCAAATTCCTAAAGCTTTGGATGTGGAAGCCAAATGTTCAATATAGTTTCAATTCATTTTCTTGATTGAATTAAATTTGGCCAAATACCTTCATCATAAAATCTCCTCAGTTTTGTAATTTTTCCTTTCCATTTCTATGATTCAGGCTGAGTATTTTTTTCTATCTTTGGTAGTCCAACAGGTATCTAACCATCTGCCGGCAGAAAAAAAAAATATGCCACTGACGATGAAACTTAAATGGCACTTTGTTGCTTTCAGTCTAAAACCTAAAGTGTTCTTTTTATCAGATTCATTATAATATTGGCTTTTCACATTTTTAAGACATATTTTGATGCATTCTCAAAATGTCCATTTCACTCCAGCCAATATCGATTGCTTTTGAAATATTCTTCAGACACATGATAATTCAATTACATTTTTTTTGTCCCTAAACCACAGTTTACCTCTCTCTCACCTTCCATTTTCCTTCTGTCCCAATTAGGAAGACTATGGTGAACATTAAAATTTAAATAAGGTCTTCTCTGCCTGCAATGAAAATAGTTCTTCCTTCTTTATGCATATCCTTTGATTGTATGTTTTCACCAGAGTAGTGTTTAATACAGGGTCTGCTTATATACTCATCTTTTATTTACTATCTACTCTGTCCTTTAGTTCCCTAAGGAGAATACAATCTGAGAGCAAAGGTTGTGATGTATACTTACTTATTTTTCACGACAGATAGTATAGTGTTTGATATAGGATTCATTACTTCAATTTTTTTTTTCTTTTCTTTTATTCTTCCTTCTTGGACTTCAGGTTCTTGTGTTCTATTACACAGTAGGGTGACTACAACTAATAATACTTCTTTTTAATGTGAATCACCTCTAATTTACTTTTGGTGTACATTAATTCCATCTACTTCAGGAGCTAAATTGAAATCAGCTTTTGCCATTAAGATACCTGTTCTCAATTTAAGTCTCACAAATATTAGTAAAAGAAAAGAAAAAACAATAATCTACAGTTTCAGATAAAGTGCAACTGGAGAAAAAAATTAAATGCTGTTAAATCAAAAAGGTGAGTTGGTATGTTTATTAAAAATAAAAGATGTCAGGCACAGTGGCCCACGCCTGTAATCCCAACATTTTCAGAGGCCTAGGTGAGAGGATTGCGTGAGCCCAAGAGTTAGAGACCAGGCTGGGCAGTACAGCAATAACTCTTCTCCACAAAAAATAAAAAAAAATTAAGCAGCCATGGTGGCACACACTGGTAGTTCCAGCTACTCAGGAGACTGAGGAAGGAGGATCACTTGAGTTCAGAAGTTGAAGACTGCAGTGAGCTATGATAATTCCAATGCACTCCAGCCCGGGAGGTATAGCAATACCCCCATCCCTAAAAAAAATATTAATTAAATAAACAAAAGAGTAGAGGAGAAAATTTTCTTTTACTGCCACACAACAAATATTATTGAACATCTACCATATCCTGGGGAGTCTATTAGATGCTAGAGATACCAGGTACAACAGGTTAAGCATGACCCCGAGTACACCTGTGTAGAGCTTACTATAAAGTGGAGGGCTCTATGGGCAATTGCCCTGAAGTGCGACTAGTGCTATCTAACAGTAAGTACAAGATGTTATGAAAGCAAAGAGGGTGTTTCCCAGAGAAACTGTGATTTAAGTCAATAGTTTTGAGCATCCACCAAATAGAGGGAATGTGAAAAGTGAAGGGAAATTTTAGGTAGTTTTAGATGATTGCAAGATAAATTGATTGAAGAGAGAGTGAGGTGATGGCAAGAGATTGGGCTCTCCTCTCAGAATTCTATGAAAACTATATCTGTCTGCCACTACTGTAGCCCATGGCATCATGATCTCTTCCATACATCTATGAGATATCCCATAAATCTATGGGATAAAATATTTATGTATTTTATCCATATATATATATATATATATATATATATGGGTAATAGTTTATTTCTAAAAGTAGTCCAGTATTTTTACTTAAATTATGAAAGCCAATTTGGGCCCTGTCTCCCTATGTTATATCTTTCCATTTACTATACATATTGTGTGGAAGCCATAGTAATCTTTCAACTTCCAAAATCAATGGGGTCTTTCTCTTATTTTTTATTATTTATTTATTTATGTTTATTTAATTATTAATATTTTGAGACAGAGTCTTGGTCTGTTGCCCAGGCTGGAGTACAGTGGCACAATCTCAGCTCACTTCAATGAGGCCCTTCTCTTCTAAGAGACTTCATATTTACTTTTTCTGCATCCCAAATCCCTCTTCTGTCTTCATGTCTTTGCTGACATCTATTCATCCTTTTATTCTAAGCTTCAATACTGTACTCATAATAGTCTATTGCATGGTGACCCAATGTAATGTACCTTATTTTGTTCATTGCCACATGATTATCATACAGAATAATGGCTGGCATATGTAGTAGGTACTCAATAAATACTTGTCGAAGTGGATGCCCGAAGGAAAGCTAGATAATGCTAAATGGCTAACTAAGAAATGCAGGACTGTAAACTTACTTGGCTGACTCTTGTGAGTTGATATGGTTTGTCTGTGTCCCCACCCAAATCTCATCTTGGATTGTAACTCTCACAATTCCCACGTGTCATGGGAAAAACCAGGGGCAGGTCTTTCCCATGCTGTTCTCATGATAGTGAGTAAGTCTCATGAGATCTGATGGTTTTTTTAAAATGGGAGTTTCCCTGCACAAGCTTTCTCTCTTTGCCTGCTGCCATCCACGTAAGATGTGACTTGCTCCTCCTTCCTTCTGCCATGATTGTGAGGCCTTCCCAGCCACGTGGAACTATAAGTCCATTAAGTGTCTTTTTCTTCCCAGTCTCGGGTATGTTTGTATCAGCAGTGTGAAAATGGACTAATACATGAGTGGATTGGAGAATCTTAAACTAAAACAGAGGAAAGTAACTGGGAGACAGGGTAATTTCACTGAGTGAGAAAGTGATACTGGTAGTAAAGTTCAACAAAATGGAAAATGGTGGGAAAGTATATGGCTTGAACATATATTCTAGACATATAAATAATTGTACCTTTAAAACAATTTGTTCTGAATAAGTGAGTCAAAACATGAGAGTCATGTAGATTTTCAATCTTTTGCCTTAAAAACATGGCAGATTGTGTCATTTTTTGAGAAAAGACACATATACACACAAAACAAACCAATGTTAAAGAAAGATACTGTGAACAACTCTATTTTAGGTACTTGCTGGATATTTACATGAAATGTCCAGATAACAGTGATGTGTGAGGATATGCAGCTCAGAAGAACAATGTACATCGGAGAGATGGGGCTGACAGTCATCTTTTGCTATGGTTGGTAACTGGAAGCATGGTGTTGGATGAGCTCTCTTGTAAAACAAATCCTAGGAGAAAGAAAATAAGGGTCCCCAAACGGTTAAATATGAAAAAGAAAGAAAGGAGAGACAGCCAAGGAGACCAGAACTGACTTTTGATCAAACTAGGAATATTTGATATCATGAGCTGCTGCAAGGGATGAGAATGCTTGAAGTCTGAGGACATGGTAAACAGACTCTAGTAATGTACAGTGCTAAGTTGGATCAAATGTTCATTCAATTTTTCACCAGGATAATTGGCAAGACATTTTTAGGTTATTTTAGGGGAAGTGGCTAAAACGTGCTGTGTTGAAGAGTAAGCAGAATTAGGGAGCAATAGAATAAAGACAAGTTTTTCAATAAGTCTACCTATAAGAAAGAACAGAGAAAAATGAATAGTAGAAAGAAAGGACTCTATGTTCAATGTATTTTTGAGGAGGAAAAGACTTGTGTAGTGTATTAAATTTTTATGGGAAGAATCTAATTAGGAAGGAGAGGTAGAAGAAAGTTGATAATACAAAAGGGACATCCCACTGCTGAAGAAACAGGAATATATGAAAAACATAACCCAGCTGGAGAGATTAGGTTTAGAAACTAGAGAGAGAGAGAGGATTCAGGAAAATGCGTAAGTTTGGTGGAAAAAAAATGCTTCCATTTATATCTAGTGTCTTATTTTCTCTGAGAAGTGAACATTAATGTCACCATCTGAGAATGAGACAATTGTCGGGTTGATCAAAGATGATGGAAGACTGAAGTTTTGAAATGGCTATATGTTACTACAGTAGCTGAGTGGAATTGTTAAATTGATTTTTTAAATCTTCAATGTATTTAGTTAGTTATGATTATATTGCCATCAACATCAAAATGTTTCAAATGTTTCTATTGTGTAAATGTACATAAACTCAAGTAATTGCATAATGCAGAATGAAATGGGTAGTACCATTACACATTCCTCGTATTCTTTATATCTATATGAAAAATCTAGTGGGATAGTGTAAAACAGCAATTCTCAAGTGGGAATGGCTACTTACAATAGAAAGAGGCAGCCTGCTGTATTCAGATGACCAGTTTTGAAGAAGCAGATTTTTGCACTGCGATGAAGCTGATGTGTACACTTAAATAAACACTGTCAGGTAAAATTGAGTTGCCCAGCTTCTTCCCTATCCATTTTAACACTCATATAACTACTTTTTTATAAATTTAAAGGCATATATTAAAACTATTGTCTTAAATATTTCCAGATTACATTAATATTGCAGTGATGTTTTAATACATTCCTTAAAAGAGAATTTAATATCTTCAATTTTGAAATAAAAGAGATTTTGAAAACAAACTTTGTACTTTTGCCTGTAAAATTCCCTGCTGGGTCAATATGGTCAGAGAGCTGTTATTGTTAGAGATCTATTCTTATCTAAATGAATAAATGAGAAATTATTGCATTCAAAGACAGTGGCATCATTACAGAATACAAAAATTAGCAAATAAATCCCAAACTCTTCAATATCAGCTTTTTATAGTTGGTACAAGAAACTCTGATGGGAATAAAATACATCAAAGTGTGTTGTATTGCTTTTGTTATTATGTTTCTATATCAACCTCCAGAGAAAGTATTATTATTAATAGTAGTTATTGCTATTGAAACTATATTGCCTTTCCAATAAAATATAATCCAGAAGTTTTGAACTTTTTAAAACTAGCCAGGAACAGACGTAATAATAGCAAAGTTACCTATGGTTTCCTATCCAAAAATCATAAAAGTAATTACAGGGGTTACTGCCCGTGTTAAATTCCCCAGATGATTTTACTGAATAATATTTTTCTTTGCTTTCCCATAGCGCAGAATGGTTTTACTTTTATCCAGTTTATAAGGAGGTATGAATTAGCCTTTGCTTTTAACAGACCAGGACCAATTTCTTGAAACATTTTGAAGGGTAGGAGTCTCTGTGGACACAGATAATGGTTTACAGTATATGCTTTCATGATTATTTGAAAGTATACACTCAAATTTGCTCAACAGTTCGATTATACCCAAAAGACACTGTTGAGCAGACAAAATATTTTATTTACAATTATATTAGTGAGTTTCAGCTGAAATATATAGATATATATTAGCTTCATGATTCAAGATTTTGTAAAGTTGATGGTTTTTCAGTTTTTGCATAGCTTGTCTACTGTAGTCATCAGTTCGGGTCTACTTGGGGTTGGATATGTATTCATGCCCTTGAATCAGGTTATTCTAAGCCACGACTCAAAATTGTCTTAGTAAAATTTAATCACTCAGTTTTATGAATGTAGGTAGACCTCCTTTCTATATGCTCTGAAAAATGCCTGCTATTGTTTGATTTCCCATTTCAGATCTTTTTCTATGTGTAGGAGGAATACATTAAGTCTATTTCTTTCTTCTCAGCATATGCTCTGTAATATAAGGTAAGAAAAAACAGACTCTCAAAATCTTTTTCAAGAAAGAATGTTTCACCGATTAGAACTGAACATATAAATAATTCCTCTTAGTATAAAACTAGAGATATGAGGACACTTCATGGAATAAAAGGGTGAATTTCTTTCTTCACAGTAGTTTAACCAAAAGGAACCAAGAACTGGAATGCGGGTTTGGAAGGAACACTTATTAGTGTATAAAGCAACAGAGTCAGATAATTAGGTCAGGAGTTTGAGACCAGCCTAGCTGACATGGTAAAACCCTGTCTCTACCAAATATACAAAAATTAGCTGGGCATGGTGGCAGGTGCCTGTAATCCCAGCTACTCAGGAGGCTGAGGCAGGAGAATCACTTGAACCTGGGAGGTGGAGGTTGCAGGGAGCTGAGATCACGCCATTTCCCTGTAGCCTGGGAGACAAGGGGGAAACTCCATCTCAAAAAATAAATAAATAAATAAATATTTTTAAAATTTGTAACTGTATTTTACTGATTTGCATTTTCTAATATTTATAATATTTTAGTAATGTAGAACAACATTTACAATTAAATTTGCAAGGTGTATATATATGTGTGTGTGTATATATATATATATATCCCTGACTTCACAGAACTTACAATCTATTCAGTCTACCGGGAGGAAAAGAGATTTTTTTAAAATGCTAGAATATATTTTACATGCTACATGAGGGAACAACGGGGATTAAATGTGAGGGAACATCTAGACATCTGCATAGTAGATTTTTAGGCATGTTTCCCAGTTTATAACTTTCATTTGTTGATGAAAGTTATAAACTGGGAAACATGCCTAAAAATTATTTAAAATTTAAAATAAGTTGTCAACATTTTAGAATTGATATTTAAGAGGCAAGTCTGCATTTCTAGACTTTTTTGAAAAGCTGGAAGATGTGACAATATTTGACAAATATTCATGTGACATTGGCCTACTGGGTCTGAGAGCAGTCACCCCTTTTAGACAAGGGATGCATTAGCCTGGATCTATATGTCTAACCATCCTATCCTGTATTTACATATTGACACTGAGGTTAACAGTTGATATTTTCAGTTAATATCCAAGTAGCAAATATATATATATATATATATATATATATATGTATGCATACGTATTATGTATATATATATATCTCACATGGAAAGATGAATAATAACTAAAGTAATATTATTAGTTTTCTTAAATACAAAGCCCTTGTAAGTATGTGTAATCCTTTCTAGGTCAAATGATTTAAGAGTTTCTAAAAGTAATGACATATAAACTGAAATCTGAAAGATGAACAAGGAAGTAATGAGGGAAAGTTTAGAAGTTAGTCATTTATGCTCCAAGACAACGAATGTTCACTGGTTATCTAATATGTGGTGGGAATTGTGGTACATTGCTTTAGGAATACTCCTAATCCCTATTCTAATGGACTTCACAGTGCACTGCGAGATACGTATGTGCCAAAATGTAGGATCTGGCAGAGCATGAAACAAGGAAGTTGAATAAGTTCACTATGATTGAAGGTGGAGTTTGGGAGTAAGAATGTTGATACATTATTTTGAAGCATAGACAAAATCTAGATTTATGAAGTCCTTATGAACAACCATGTTGAAAAAATCTGATTTTATTCCAAACACAGTCATAAATGGAAGTCACTGCACATTTTCAGGGGACTAACATAATTTTGTGTGTGTGTGTGTGTGTGCACATGCTTGATGAAGACCCTTTGACTGCAGGTTGGAGAATTAATTTAAGAGTTAAAGCATGAAGGTCTCACTCTGCTTAACTTACTGGATCAGTAAAGGAAGTGGGAGGTGATGGTGTCCTGGAATAGTAATAGTGGGGTTGGTAAGGAATGAACTGAATCTAGAGTTACACGGTTCTTAAATACGCAAGAATGTGAAGACTTTCATCCCATTTTCCTCTATGTCTAACACATTCCCTAAAACAAATTGTTTTGTTATAGTCTTGTTTGTTACACATTGTGCCTAACTTACAATAAGTCCTCAATAAATATTACCTATATAATGGGGGAAAGGGTATTTATTCGAGGATCTTTTTTTTATTCGCTGTATAATATAGAGACACATAATTTTATTGTGCATTCATAAAATAAAGCAAAGATGAAATGTGATAATGCAGGTAAACGACTTAGGCCTACACTTAGCTTATACAGAGAGATCAAAATTCCAAGATCTAGCCTAATAAGTGAGATGGGCAGTTGCCTCTTTAATCCTTTTCTGTAATAATACTTTATTCCAAGTTTATACTGACACTCTTCTTCAGCAACCTCAGAAAAAAAATTCTAAGTGTCAAAAAATAACCGTGTGTGAAAAATAAAACGAGTAATAGAAGTCAAAACGGACTCTGGGGGATGTAGTTTCCATGAAGAAATTTGCAGTTCTAAGCCTAGTTGACATACATATAAGAAGATGGATAAATATACCAGCGGAACTGCAGTGTCTCATGAACTACAGAGTATCAAAGAAATATGAAGATCCTGAAAAGTAGGGTTATCTTAATCCTTAAAGGTTTAAATACAGCACAGCTACAAATGAGAAAAACTACTAGAGAAGAGAAATAAGAAGAGAGATCCTCATGCTAATTTGTCCTTTCTCTTAGATCTGAAAGGCAATTTAACCAGCAAGCCAGTTGACTAAAGTGCGTCAATACAGCTCATTTTGTTTGTGGTTAATCACGTGGTCTGAATAGATGTTATTATACCTTATGTAATAATGAGTGAAATTTATCAAGATGCAGCAAGCTAACCAGTCATGTTGGTAAAGGAGTTCCCAGAATAATTAAAAAGAAACATTAGTAAAATGTAGGTGACAAAATATTTCTGAGTAGAACAATTTTACTGTTTTTAATTTTTGTTGAACAAAAGTCTTATAAAGTATGACTTTATTTTAGCCCATGATCATACACCCTGTACACACCCCAAGCTCAAGGTAGAACCTGAATCAAAGATTTGAATGCAGTTAGCTTATTTCCAAAGTGGTGATGGGAAGCAAGAATGAGGAATGCAAAAATGGAACAGGGAGAAACAAAAAATCAATTTAATAACGAGCTATTGAGGACGATGTTATGGTCGAAATATTTGTGTCCATCCAAAATTCATATGTTGCAACCTAATCCCCAATGTGGCGCTGTCAAGACATGGGGACTTGGGAGGTAATTAGATCACGTGACCTCTGCCCTCCAAAAAGACATTAATGCCCTTAGAAAAGGGGCCTGAGGGAGCTTGTTTGCCCCTTCTGCCAGGTGACAAATACAGCTGGAAGGTGCCTCCTATGAAGCAGAGAATGAGCCCTCACTAGACACCAAATCTAGCACCTTGTTCTGGGACTTCTCAGCCTCCAGAACCGTGAACAATACAATTTGGTTGTTTATAAGTTACCAAGTCAAGGATATTTTGTTATAGCAGCCAAAGTAAATTAAGAGAAAAGACTTAAGAAGAAGTTGATCTCCAATTTGGCAACTAGTGTTTAATCCTGTGAGACATATTGTGGAGCATTTGGAAATGAATCTCAGAAGTGTGCATGGCATTGGGGGTTTTAAAGGGAGCGTTTATCCATTCTCCAGCATCCTTCAATGATCACGTGTGGCATTTAAAGGGTACACGTGTGAATGGCGATTGTCCCACATGAAAAAGTCCTAAGGCTGTGATCAAAAGGCCCTGAGGCTAGATGCTGGCGAGTAAACCTGCTCAGAACTAGTCACTTCAGCAGTGGCTGCTGAGGCTAGAAGGATTTGAGTGATATCCTAGAGGTGTCCAATACAGTCTCGTCCATAGAACTACAGAGGCAAAATATTGAGCCGTAAGAATGAGGAACATAGCCTGTAAGTTTTCAGTGATAGAGAAGATTTTCTTCAAATAGTTCAAAATTTGCCTGCCTCCAACACATAAACTATAATAAATATCTCAGTAATGGAAAGAGCTTTCACTCTATTTTATTTTATTTTTTCGGAAAATGTTATCAAACAATTATTTTATTCCCAGCAAGTTCATAAAGTTTGTTTTTGTTGTAATAATTGCTGTTCTTTTTAGAAAACAGATAGAAAGGTATTCTTATATGAGAAAGGGTTCATACATCATTAGAGCTGTATATCATTATGGAAAACTGAAGTTATTTTCCAGCCAAACAAAGTAGAATAAAAAAGGAGCTAAAACATACTTTCCAGCCAAGCAAAGTAGAATACAAAAAGGAGCTAAAACAATGAGGAATAGAAGTTATATAAAAACCTGGCAGTCAATACCATACATAGTGACCAAGAGAACCCTGTAGAATCTTACCTTCTCATTTTATCAAGATAGAATACTACAGCCCCACTCTTTATTTTCTAACACAGTCCATCTGTTAATTTCGTTTCTAAAACTATTTTCTTAAAAATAATAATAATAGATTAATTATTCTTATTCTCTATGAAATTATAATGACCATGAGGATGAAAAGTATATATTGTCTTTACTATTTTATAGTCAAGGCCGTGTTTATTGTGTCAAATCATATGCACCCAGTATATGTTTATTGAACTAATTCATTTATTAACTTCCAACTAATGGCAAAGGAAAGTGAATTGTATTCCTAAACAGCATAAATACATGTTCCATTAACCCAAAGTTTCTTTGAATTTGCTTAATCTGTTTTAGAAATGCAAGTACATTTAGAATTTTATTACCCACTATATCCATGTTTATAATTATTAATCAAAACAATGGTTTAATTTGTTTATCAGAAATAGGAGATAAACCTCTCTCTTGCTCTAGAGAGATGGCAAATGTTTGCTAAACAAGAATTTTTCACTCCTCCAATCTGTGTGTTTCTTTTTAGAAAAATAATGAAAGTTTAAAAATATAATATGAACTTAATGTTTTACCACACAAATTAACACTTCTGAATAACTGTTTGATATGTTATTAGCAAGCCTTTCAAATAGAGTTTTCAAGTTTGAGAAATCAAAATTTCAAGGTCCACTGTCTCTTCCCCTGTAGATTATGATGAGATACAGTCTGTCACACTTCAGACTCATAAGGTCCTAATCCCTTGCCTGACAATAAGAAAATGTTTTGATAGATTTTAGCTTTTAGCAATATGTAAAAGACTGCAATTTAGAAATTTTAAAGTTTGAACTCGAAGTGTAAGAATCACCTAGTTTCTGGCTAGTGAGTCTTTTCCTATTTCCTTCCTGGTTATTGTAGATGGGTAGATTCTTAAGGAAGCCTAATTTAAATTCTGAATGTTAGCATACTGCCACATGCCACCCCCCATTAAAACCTACATACTTAGCCAGGCATGGTGGTGCATGCCTGTAGTCCAGCTACTCAGAAAGCTGAGGTAGGAGGATCACTGCAGCCCAGGAGTTAGAGACAAAGCCTGGGCACCACACACAGACACTGTCTCTAAAAAAATCACACACACACCCCTAAATATCTAATCATCCAAATGACTTAAAAAGTATAGGGTATTGCATAACCTCAACCAAATATATACCTGTTACTCCTGTGTAACACACCAGCCCTTTCAAATGCACCGACATATACTGATATAATGGAGTTAAAACAAGCCACCTCTTCTCCACCCAATACCCTCCATAATAAGAACTCATTGTAAACTTTATCCTTATTCCTGCCATCTCCTTACTCTCCCCAAAACAGGGAACTCTTCCTCATTTTTTTCCTCTTTTTAATGGTCAATTTATCAGAGCCAAGACTTGCTTTACATGGAATTTTCATATTTTATGATGTTTTAAGAACATAGGGACCCACTAATTGTCTCCTCAAGATCATTATCTAACTCAATAAGAAAATTTTATTATTATTATGATAACGTGAGTTTAACTCTATTTTATTAAGCAATAAAAATCTCATAAATCAGTGTTTCAAAACAATTAAATTTAACAAAATCACATTTTACTTTTATTGGTCTATTGCAAACTTTAAAAAGTAGTATGTATCTCATTGCCATTTGTGCATATGTTATACATTATGTGCAGGAGTATATTTTTCTTGGTTTAATCAGATTATCATAATTAATTTTTTTGTTTTTTTGTACAACCAACATGTATGAATTTGATATCAAAAAATGGTTATTATGTCACTAATTATAAAATCTTGTGACCTCATAAGAAATAACTACAGTCACTCAATGTCTCTATTGCATGTGTATGTATGCGTAGTGTAAGTTTATGGAGTCATCACCTCATACCGCCTGTGAAGTTAAACTTGTTGTTAATACATATTCTGTAATACTAAATAAAGTCACATGTGGATGATTTCTTCATGACTGATGCTTAAAACTACTTGCAAGAAAAATTTGAAGGGACATGTAGATTCCTCTCAAGAACTTTCGTGTAGTGATTCCATTCGTAATCTGATCGCCATATGGTAAGTGGTAACTTTAGAGAAGATATTGTGCTGAATCCATCATTCCCTTGCAATTTATGTACTTTGCATCTTTCAGTAATTTGTGTAGAGAAAAAAATACATGAATTTCTTAAATCCAATTATAATATTAATTGCCATACAGACAAAATGCTGAACTTGTTGGTGTAAAATGATCCTAGATCACACTGTAAAATGTTCACAGGATAGATTTTCATTTTCATTATCTAAAAGAAGCAGACATTTGCTTGTGACAAGTTAAGACAATTATTGGAATCCTAAAGCAGGATACAATGTTATTTCAAGACAGATACACACGGTGCCAGCAGACAGATACACATAGTGGTAAGGTAATGATTATAAACTCCAGGTAACAGAAGTATAAGTAGGTGCCAAAAGGTAGGTAATTGGTCTAATTGCACAGGTGTATTTAGTGACAGGGCAGAACTAAAATGCATGTTGCTCTGACTCCATAGCCCATATTCTGCTTTTTTACAAGAGTCTCTTGTCATCATTGTGCAACATCAACACTTAAATCGATATGAGTACTATCGTCCTCTGTTGATTATTATACAAAATATTTGACAGACATACTTTTTGAATTTAGCTTACACAATGAGAAAGAAAAAACACACAAATGCATATTTAATACAGTTATACAATAGCAATAAAATATACAATATACAGATTTGAGGGGAAAGCAATATGTGTCTTATGGGGAGATAAATTTTTTTGATATGTCATAAAGATTAAATTAAAAGGTATTTAGAAATTGGGTGTCTAGCTGTTTAGTTCTACTATAGGTACAATAGTAAAGAGGCAACAGCATAGAAAGTAATTTATTGAAGGTGATAATACCATTTTGAAAATGCATGAAAGCATTTTAAAATTTGTTACTTAATTAATTTCTACACTATACGCGGTCCAGGTAAACCTAATTAATTACTCCTCCTCTCTAATGAATTCTATCTAATTAGAATTTCATTTAATAGACATATTATTCAAGTGGGAATAAAAATATCATCTTATATCTACTATAGCTGGAGAGGGTAACTTGTTTCCTACGTAGGGATAAAAATTGTATTAAAAATCTATATAGAGGAATAAAATAATCCTTATTCTCTCCTTCAACACTTATGACAGATAAACAGATGAAGAATAAGCCCCCATGATGGGTGGATCAATGTTGGGCTTCATGCTGGCAGTGAGTAGGAAAGTAGTAGGAATTCCTGCCTCAGGGACCTTAAATATCCGAAAAGAAAAAAAAAAAAAGGAATGGTTTGGATCTACCCCAAAGCTCCACCATAAACATAATAGAAACAATCAGGCTGCACACTTGCAAGGTCAATGCTATCATATCTTCTGAAATATCTGCTTCAGAATAAAATTGCTTCAAATGAGCCAGCCGAGGTGCTTGAACTAGGAAACGTACCCAAGGTAACCATATCAGATAATTGTCTGACAGTTTGGTAAATATCAATGGAATTTGCTGAGACCCCAGAAGAAAATGAAATTGGTGAGTTTTGATAAGCCTTAGAATGAGAAGTTTACATTTCATCAGACATTTTGCCTTTTTTATTTAATAAAAAATATAGTGAACACTTGTCTGCTTACTAAGGGCTAGGAATATTTAATTTTTACACCAGCTTTATAAACTAGTTACTACTGGGGTCACCTTTTTTAAAATTAAAGATCAGGAGTTTGGAGGGGTTAAACTCCTTGTCCAAAGTCTTTAGAGCAATTAATATTGATGAAGCTTTTGTTGCAATTCAAACCAACTGAATTTAGGGACCATGATGTTCATCATCATGTAATATAATTATTAAGATACAACACATTATTGAATAATGTATTAGAATTTAATATATTTATTTTAAAATAATATAATTACTTCTAATATATTATTTGAAATAATGAGATAATAGTTCCATTTACATTCAATTTCATGCTAAAGATCTAAAAGATAAGGCATTATGATTTCTCACAATCTTGAACTTGTTATTAGCAGGACTTCTCATAAGAATAAGTTGCTTAAATTCATATTTCTAGGGATAATTTTATTAACATATGTTACCAGAAATATAGTATAATTATGTTTTTTACCTGCTATTAGAAGCCATACACTTGTCTGGGTATTAGTATCACAACATTATTCATTTCTCCATTGTGGGATAAAAGGAAATGTACCATAACTATATCTATGACATAGTCATAACATTGCACTAGTAGAGAGTGTGTGAAATTAATGTATGTAATCAAAATTTAATGACTGAACTAAATGATAATAAATAACCAATCTAGGTAAATCTGTTAACTTAAAAAGTGTTATGTTAAAAATAGATAAGCATATTTTTAAATAGCATGCAAACATAGTTTGCATGCAATACCAAAATGATGATTTAACATCTTAACAAACAATAACAAAACAGCAGTTATATATTTTGAATATGGTCATTTTGAAGAAAAGTACAAAGGATGCATATAAATATAATTACTTTATTATAAACAGCCATAGGTCTTCATATTGTCACAGTATTAATTGTATTATGTCACCGTTACCCTGGTATAATTATTAATAGTGCTAAATTTACTCCAGAATTTTGCAGAAATGCAACAGACTTTTGAAAAGCAGATAATTTCATTGACCTCAAACTATTCCAGAGTATAGAAAAAGAAGGGAAACCTCTACATTTGTTTTATGATGAGAATATAAAATTGTTTTCCAAAATGGACAAAAAGTACCCCCAATCAAAAACATATACCAAATTCTTTTATGAGCTTCAATTTAAAAATATTAAATAAACAACATAGAATGAAGATAACACACAGAAAAAATAAAAATTTTAAAGATGCTGACTTTACACCAACTAAAAATTCAAAAATTTCAATGCTATTAACTATTTTAAAGTAATTGATCATAACACTATAATAAGAAAAATGCATATGATAATCTTACAAATTATAAATAAATGAAGAATATCAATTTACAGTAAAAGCACTAAAAATATTAATTGATGAAATATTATACTTTGAACCAAAATCTTCTATCTTATTTAATGGAAACACAAAAAGCTTTTCTGCTAAAGTCAAATATAAAATGACCTCTCTTTCTGCTATTATTTAAAATAATGTGGAAGACATTATTCAATGCAATTAGACAAAATAAAAATATTAGAGGACAGAATTGAAGAAAAATAAGAATTGGAGACAATGTGATATAATTTCATATCTGGAAATTCTACATAAATCAGTGGGTGAACTACCGTGAAAAACAGGAAAGCTTACTAAAGTATAGCAATAAAATGTGCACAATGAGTAGTTTACATACATGAAAACAAAAGACTATAAAAATTAAATTATAGGGAAAACCCTTATTTACAATAAAATCCATAACAATAAATAATTTGGGAGTAAAACTAGAAATAAATAAATTGAAAGTAAATGCTTATGTCTGTAGAACTGAATCACACAAAAAAATAGATGTGAAAACATGATGAAAATACAGTGTGTTTGGATAGAAGTAATTTGCACAATAAATACTGCATTTTTTTCTAAGTTAATTTACAAATTTAAGCAACTCTAAATAAAAGACATTCATTTTCCTTCCTCTCCTGTAGTTATTAAAATTAATTACAAAGTTCATTTTTAGTCACATAGAAGCAAAGACAGCCTAAAAGCTGGGAAAAAATAGAAATGAGAAAGCATTACTTCTCTGAGACATAAAATATACTATTAAGCCTCTATAATTCAGAGAATTTGGTATTGTCACATATGTAGAAATACATTCCAACAAAACCAAGTAGAAAATCCAGGAAAGGACAACATTACACTCCAGACTATTGTTATATACAATGTTTTAAATATAATTTAAAATGACATAACAGCAGTTTTCACTGTGATATGTAAAAAGCCTGAAAATCACCACTTCCACACTCAGATGAAAAACCTGAAAACTTAAAATAAGCAACTACATGCATCAGAGAATTTAAGTCAAAGGGCAAACTGTCACCCAGAAAATTTGAGAGACAAGCAAACACAGAAAAATCATAATTTATAAGGAGCAGAAGCTGCAGGAGCCAGTAAATATTAGGAATACTTAAACAGATACCAATAAGTTGCCATAACCCGAGTGTGCCGTAACCCAAGTGTGCTGTAGCTACAGAGTTAAATTCCTATGAGCCAGTCTAAGACGAGCCCTGACAGTTTCAATAGTTTTCCCTGTAGAAATGCTGCATGGTTCTCACTGTGAAGATCAGAAAAAAACCCTCTCCCTAGTTCCTTACTCCCCTCTCCCCTGTACTTAGGGGCAGGGAAAGAGAAAACATAACCATCTTATAAAATTCCCCAGTGGAAAGTAGTCATTTTGAAATTCATCATATCCAAGTATACCTGGAACACTTAAAACTCAGCAACAAGAAAACTGACCGTTCACTTAATAAAGTGGGCAAAATGTTAGAACAAACAACTCACTAAAGAAGATCTAAAGATGACAAGTAAGCTTATGAAAAGATAGTGATTATGTGCCCTTAAGCAACTACATATTGGGAATTTCACTCTTCACTCCAGCAGTTTGGAAGTCACCATGCCATGCTATCTACAAATGGAAGCCTCAACAAGCTAAAAAAAAGTAACAACTCTTTTTATATTGCTCAAATAAATGAGGTCACAGGAGGAAAAACGGAAAGACAGATAGGCAGATACAGAAAATCAGAATTTTTCAGAGCATAAACCAGTGAATAAAAACTGCAGGAACCAGTACCTGGGCAGAAAAGCTTGAGCTATAATTGATGAATTGCTGGAAGCTCAGGTTGGCTAAGTCTGTAAGTTAAAACTTCAGTGCAAGAGTGGTGCAGTGGGGTGGAGGTGGGGGGCAAGCACACTTTTGTGAATTTTGCTTTCTGGAGCTCTACTAGGTTCTCACAGTGAATATTGATGAAAATTCCCTAGTAGAAAAAGGGGAAAATAATCATCCTGAAATATGCCACATCATTTTTTCTTAACTAGGCCTGGCTTCAAAAGAAATTATTTCATCAGAGCCTACTGAGATTTTGTCAAAGCCTAACCAACCTGGAGGAAGAGACATATCCAACTCCAGCCCCCTCTAGCCAACTTGTCTCACCTAAAAGTGGGGTCTAATAAGCACTTGTGCAGGTCACAGCTCAGAGGCATAGGCTCACTAAGTGACTGAGACCTAATCATAGAAATACAGAATGCTTCCCCTCTCACACCTTCCCACCACATCACTAAGGTCTATTTATTAGTGTTTCTTTCACCCATAAACTCTAAGTAAGAAGTTTCTTTCAACCCTGTTTATTAGAGTTTCTTTCACCATGTCCAGTTTTCAATGAAAAAATTACAAGGCATATTAAAAGACAAAATCACAGTGTGAAAAGAAAGAGCAAGAATTAGAACCAGATTCAGATATGGCAGGACTGCTGGTATTTTCAGACCTTGAGTTTAAAGCAACTATAATTAATATGCTAAGAGCTCTAATGAAAAACAGAAAACATGCAGAACAAATGGGTAATATCTTAATCCATTCTCTGCTGCATTTATAGAATACCACTGACTGTGTAATTTATTTTAAAAAAAGAAAAAGAGCAGAGAGTTTTTTTTTTTTTTTTGACTCACAGTTTGGAGGCTGGGAAGTCCAAGATTGAGGGGCCAAATCCGATTAGGGCTTTCTTGCTGCTTCTTAACATAGAGGAAGGCATCAGATGGTGAGAGGAGGTGAGAGAGGGTGAGAGCACAATAAACAGAGAGAAAAGGGAGGCCAGACTCTCACAATAACTAACCTACTCAAGAGATGACAGCATTAATCCATTCATTAAAGCAGAACTCTTATAACCTAATGACCTGTTAAAAGCTCCATGTGTTGATATCATCACAATGCCAATTAAATTTCCACATGAGTTTTGGAGGTGACAGTTTGTAAGCAGAGAGATTAAATTCTAAGAATGAAGCAAAAAGAAATCAAAAACGCTGTAACAGAAATAACACTTTTGATGGATTCATTAGGGGACTGGATGTGGATGAAGAAAGAATCTCTGAGTTTGAAAAAATGTCAATATTAATGTCAAACATTGAAAAAAAAGACACTAAAAAAAAGAACAGAATATTCAATAACCATCTACTAAAGATATATGCATGATTAAGTTATCAGAAGAAGTAGAAGAGAAAGAAACAAGATAAACAATTGAGGCAATATTGACTGAGAATTTCTCCAAATTAATGTTAGACCCCAAACGACAAATCAAGAAAGCCCCAGTGATCAGGAAACACCACAGATTCTGGAAGTTCCCTGGTGATCCAGGGAACACCAGGCAGGATAAATGCCAAAAATAAATTAACCTAGATATAACATATTCAAGCTGCAGAAAATCAAAGATAAGTAACAAAATCTTGAAGGTAACTGAAAACTGAACAACAAGATATCACTTCATATACCTTAAAATCCAAAACCAAACGAAATCCTGACAATACCAAACTCTGGCAAAATTGTGGAGCAATGGGAGGTCTCATTCATCGCTGATGGGAATGCAAAATGGTACAGCTGCTGACGTGGGTTCCCTGTGTCTCCACCCAAATCTTATCTGGAATTGTAACTCTTACAATTCCCATGTTTCATGGAAGGAACCCAGTGGGAGGTAACTGAATCATGGGGGTGGGCCTTTCCCATGCTGTTCCCATGGTAGTGAATAAGTCTCATGAGATCTGATGGTTTTAAAAACAGGAGTGTCCCTGCACAAACTCTCTCTCTCGCCTGCCACAATCCATGTAAGTTGTGACTTGCTCCTCCTTGCCTTCACCATGATTGTGAGGCCTCCAAAGACATGCAGAACTGTTAAGTTCATTAAACCTCTTTTTCTTCCCACTATGGGAATGTGTATCAGCAGTGTGAAAATGAACTAACACAGTAAATTGGTACCAGTAGAGTGGGTTGCTGCTGAAAAGACATCCGAAAGTGAGGAAGCAACTTTGGAACTGGGAAACAGGTAGAGGTTGGAAAACTTTGGAGGGCTTGGAAAACAGGAATATGTGGGAAAGTTTGGAACTTCTTAGAGATTGTTGAATGGCTTTGCCCAAAATGCTGATAGCAATATGGAGAATAAAGTCCAGGCTGATGTGATCTCAGATGGAGATGAGGAACTTGTTGGGAACTGTAGCAAAGGTGACTCTTGTTATGTTTTAGAAAAGAGACTGGTGGCATTATGCCCCTGCCCTAAAGATTTGTGGAACTTTGAACTTGAGAGAGATGATTTAGGGGATCTGGCAGAAGAAATTTCTAAATAGCAAAGCATTGAATATGTGACTTGGGTGCTGTTAAAGATATTCAGTTTTATAACGGAAGCAAAGCATAAAAGTTCAAAAAAGTTGCAGCCTGAAAATGCGATAGAAAAGAAATTGCCATTTTCTGAGGAGAAATTCAAGCCAGCTGCAGAAATTTGCACAAGCAATGAGGAGCCAAATGCTAATCCCCAAGACAATGGGAAAAATGTCTCCAGGGCATGTCAGAGGTCTTCATCGTAGCCCCTCTCATCACAGGCCCAGAGGCCTAGGAGAAAAAAAATGGTTTCATGGGCCAGGCCCAGGGTCCCTGTGCTGTGTGCAGTCTAGGGACTTGGTGTCCTGTATCCCAGCTGCTCCAGCTATGACTAAAAGGGGCCAAGGTACAGCTCAGGCCGTGGCTTCAGAGGGTGCAAGCCACAAGCCTTGGCAGATTCCACATGGTGAAGAACCTGCGGGTGCGCAGAAGTC
The DNA here is from genome assembly GCF_000001405.40 of Homo sapiens. Classification (NCBI taxonomy): domain Eukaryota; kingdom Metazoa; phylum Chordata; class Mammalia; order Primates; family Hominidae; genus Homo; species Homo sapiens. The sequence goes on from NC_000005.10 coordinate 27,364,695, forward strand.
AAGAATTGAGGTTTGGAACCTCCACCTAGATTTCAGAGGATGTATGAAAACACCTGGATATCCAGGCAGAAGTTTGCTGTAGGGGTATGGCTTTCATGGAGAACCTCTGCTAGGGGAGTGAAGAAAGGGAAATGTGGGAGCCCCCACACAGAGTCCCTACTGGGGCACCATGTAGTGGAGCTGTGAGAAGAGGGCCACCTCTCCTCCAGATCCCAGAATGGTAAATCCACTGACAGCTTGCACAGTGTGCCTGGAAAAGCCTCCAACACTCAATGTCAGCCCATGAAAGTAGCCAGAAGGAGGCTGTACCTTACAAAGTCACAGGGGCAGCGCTGTCCAAGATGATGGGAATCCACCTCTTGCATCAGCATGACCTGAGTAAGACACAGAGTCAAAGGAGATCATTTTGGAGCTTTAAGATTTGACTGCCCCACTGGATTTCGGACTTGCATGGGGCCTGTAGCCCCTTTTTTGGGCCAATTTCTCCAATTTGGAACAGCTGTATTTACCCAATGCCTGTACTCTCATTGTATCTAGGAAGTAACTAACTTGCTTTTAATTTTGCAGGCTCATAGGCAGAAGGGACTTGCATTGTCTCAGATGAGACTTTGTACTGTGGACTTTTGAGTGAATGCTGAAATAAGTTGAGAATTTGAATGACTATTGGGAAGGAATGATTGGTTTTGAAATGTGAAGACATGAGATTTGGGAGGGGGCAGGGACAGAATAATATACTTTGGTTGCATCCCCACCCAAATCTCATCTAGAATTGTAAGTCCCACAAGTCCCATGTTTTGTTGAAGGAACCTGGTGGGAGGTAATTGAATCATGGGGGCAGGTCTTTCCCATGCTGTTCTCGTGATAGTGAATGAATCTCATGAGATCTGATGGTTTCAAAAATAGGAGTTTTCCTGCACAAGCTCTCTCTTTGCCTGCTGCCATCCATGTAAGATATGACTTGTTCCTCCTTGTCTTCTGTCATGATTATGAGGCTTCCCAGCCACATGGAACTGTAAGTCCATTAAACCTCTTTCTTCCCAGTCTTGGCATGTCTTTATCAGCAGCATGAAAATGGTCTAATATAGCTTCTTTGCAAGACAGATTGTCAAAAATCTAACCATAGCCTTATCCAACTATCACCACCCTCAATATTTACCCAAATATAAAACTAATGTTCACACAAAACCCTGCTACATACGAATATTGGTAATGACTTTATACATATTTGCCCAAACTAAAAGCACCTCATATGTCTCTCGGTTGATGAATGGATAAGAAAACTGTGGTACATTCATATATATGAGCATGAATATATATACACACACACATATGTATACACACATATATATATAAAACCTTAGTATATATTGCTAAATGAAGAAAGCCAGCCTAAAAAGACTACATATGCTCTAATTCCAACTCTGTAACATTCTGAAAAAGGCAAAACTAGGAGGATAATAAGAAGATCAGTGGTTGGTAAGATTTCAGTGAGTGGAGGGAGAAATAAGTAAAGCATAGGGAAATCTGGAAGTGATTAAATTATTCTGTAGGATACTGTAATGAAGAATACATGGTATTATGCATTTTTCCAAAACCATTAAACTTTAAAACACAAATAGTAAACCATGCTAAATTACGGTCTACTTGATCAAAACAATGAATTTTAAAAATTACAAAAAAACAAACAAGAAAATGTGGCACATAACAGACAAAATACATAATCAATTCAAGCAGATTCACGGATACACCATACATTAGCATTAACTAACCAATGTACTATAAATATGTGAAAGAAATTATAGGGAATTTTGGAAAGTATTGTGGGGAGATGTATAATTAAGGATCAGCATAAGATGTTTATGAGGAGTCAAATTGAAATTGTAGAACTAAAAACTAGAAATCTGCATGTGTGTGTATATAAACGTATACATTATATTTATACATACATATACAAAATATACAAAAATAACTGAACATTGCAAATGAAAAATATAAATTTGTATTTATAGAAGTTAATAGAACATATTTACATTGCAACAGAGAGAGAAATAATAAAATACAGAATAGAGAAGTAACAGTTATCTGAGGTGTAACATCAAGGGATTGAAGTCCAAGAATGAAACAAAGGAAAGAACATCATTTAAAATATTTGAAGCAATAATGGGTGAATTTTCTCCAAATTTGATTTTAAAATTTCTTTAGATTTAACATGCTCAAAAGCTGCATAGTAGGTGAATAGAAATGAAAAATTGCCACACCTGGGCATATTGTAGCTATTCATTTGAAAAACAAGGTTACATTCTTAAAAGGCTAGAATAAAAACACATTACATACAGGGAAACAATGTTATAAATAATGCCTGATTTCACCCAGCAAAACCAATTGAAGCCAAAAACAATGGAAGGACAGTAAAATAAAAAAAAAAGGCTGTCGACCAATCATGTGTATGTAACAAAGGGGAAAAAATTTTCAAATAAATGAAAACAGTGATAATTCATAGCTATTAAATTAGTTCTACAATGTATATTATGAAAGTTCTTTGTACTAGGAAATAATACCAGATAGAATATCAAATATATACAATTTTAATTTGTCAAGTTACAATAATATTTAAAAAGAAAGTCAGATGTACAAGATAGTGAAATTATAGTTAGATATTTAATTTTTTTAAACCCCATTGATAGTTTAAGTGACAGAATAAAATGTACTGTGTAGCTGTGACATGTACTGAGAAAATATATTAATAGGATATTACAAAGTACAGGGGAAATTAAATGTGAGCACTCTGTGTACAATTTATATTATATATAAACCAGTATAACAGTAATTCATGATAAGTAATAATTTATGGTAAGTAAAGCTTGCATGCTATAATCCCTAGAGCATTTTGTAAATGTTAAAACGAAGTTGTCTCGACAAAAATCAACTTGATAGATAAATTAAAACACTAAAAAATACACAATCCAAAGGAAAGAAAGAAAAAAAACTGAGTAAAAAAGAGATCTGAAAAATAAAAAGCAAACATTAAGATGGTATACTTAAATTTATTAATATGAATTAGTGCATGAAATATAAATAAACTGAATACTCAAAAAAAAAAAACAGGAATTACAAGTCTGGATAAAATTGGAAAATCTATCTAGAAACGAGTTTGCATGATGTACACCCATGGTCCCCAGCCTTTTGGCACCAGGAGTCAGTTTCATGGAAGACAATTTTTTCATGGACTGAGGGTTGGGGGGAAGGGAATGGTTTCAGGATGAGTCAAGAACATTACATTAATCATGCATTTTATTTCTATCATTACTACATTGTAATATTACAATTAGACAACTTACAATAATGTAAAATTAGTGGGAGGCTTGAGCTTGTTTTCCTGCAACTCGACAGTCCCATCTATGGATGATGGGAGACAGTGACAGATCATCAGGCATTGGATTCTCATAAGGAGCATGAGACCTAGATCCCTCACATGCACAGTTCACAGTAGGGTTTGTGCTCCTGAGAGAATTAATTACTGCAGCTCATCTGTCAGGAGGGGAAGATCAGGCAATAATGTGAGTGATGGGGAGTGGCTGTAAATACGGAGGGAGCTTGGCTTGCTGGCCCACCACTCACCTCCTGCTGTGTGCCTGGTGCCTAATGGGCCACTGACCCAGTAACAATACAACAGGGGCTTGGAAATCCCTGATGTACACTTTAAATATGAGTATATTAAAAGGCTAAAGGTAACATGATTTTTAGATGGCCCATGCAAATATTGTTTATAATAAAGCTAGAATGTCTCTATTAATGCCAGGAAAATCACACTTCAAAATGAGGAAACTTTCAGAGAAAAAAAAGAACACTTGTAATAATAAAAATAGGTTAATCCTTCAAAAGCCTTAGTCATAATAATATGTATAGACATAATGGAAGTTTCACAATGCATGAAGCAAAAGTCATGAGAACCAAAAGTGTAAATAGACAAATCTAAAATTACAGTTGGAACAAAATTGCCTTCACAGCAGTTGACAGAATGCGTAAACAAATAATCAATACCAACAAACTTGACCTCACAGAAATTTGGAGAACATGGGGTCTAACAGTTATTCTCAACTACCTAATATTTTACATTGTTTTATTTTGTTTTTGAATGTACATGTGATTCTTATTAGCATAAACATCAAAGAATTCAAAAGATTAAAACTTTGCAAGGTATATGTCACCACAATGGATTATATTACAAATCAATAATCTCTATCTCTCTCTATGTATATATTCCACAAATGTTTTGAAATTAAACAATACAATTATAAATTAATTCAAATGTGTAAAAAGGGAATCAAAATAAATGTATAAATATTTCAAATTGGATGACAATAAGAACACATGATATTAACTTTGTAAGTTGCAGTTTCAGTAGCATTAGGAGGGAAATTTATTGCCATAAACGACTGTATTAGAATAAAACAATAGCTTAAAATCACTGATAAGAGGTTTCATTTCAAGAATCTTGATAAGAACCAGTTCTAAAATACATATATTTAAGGGAATAATAAATATAGACCAGTGTTCCAGTTATTAATTGCTGCATAACAAACTTTTTCACAACTTAGTGCCTTAAAACAAATCATCACTACATCTCATGTTTCTATGTATTTTCTGGGGCTTACCTGAATGGTTCTTCATATGTACCTTACATGTTTGCAGTACCTCATATATTTGCAGTGAGAAATTAACTAGGCTAAAGTCAACTGAAGTCTCACTTTAACAGACTGGTGCAGAGGGCCTTCTCACTCACACGTTGGGGATCTTAGTTCTGTTCCTTGTGACATGTTTCTCTCCAGTAGAGCATCTCAGACTTCTTAGCTGGGAGTTCTTATTACCAATTGTCACAGGAAAGAGTCATTGGGAAAAATAATTTGAGACAAAGAATTTCATGTAGAAAAGTTAGTCTGGAGGGCTCTTGTGCTCAACACTTCTACAGAGGTAGAGAAAACAAGATTGTCTTAGAGAAAAGTCAAAATACGTTACAATCACAATAAAGAATTTTGCTCATCTTAGGAGGCGCTCTGGAACTAGGAAATCCATTCAGAGTTGTCACAGTTAAAGTAAGATGGCAACAGCATGACATGACCACACCAACCAGCTTATTCTGTGCAAGCTCACCAGCTGTCTAAGAGCCTGATTTGAACAAAGCAGCTAGTTTCATCTGAGGGCAATATCCAGAAAGGGAATTGGCTCGATACTGTCAGCTACTAAGAGCTGGGGCTGGAGAAATGAAGGATCCAATTCTTCAAAAAAAGGTAAAAAAGGAGACATTGAGTACAACACAGCATCTGCTAGGATTATACAACTCCATAATAAAAAAGCAACCCCAAATATGGTCAAACAACTTGAAAAGAAAGTTCACAAAAAGTATACACAGGGCCAATAATCACATCAATAGGTACTCAACAGCCTCAACATGAAGAAACTGCACATTGAAACTATAACATATTGCATCAAATCCAATAAAAATGCTAAAATTTCAAAAACTGAGAGCTCGTATGTTGGTAATTATTTGTAGGTACTGCAATTCTCACCATCCATTACTAGTGAGAGTATAAAATGATGCAACTAATTTGGGAAATCTATTTCACAGTTATTTGTAAAGTTAAAAAGACACTTATCCTATAAAAGTATAATTCTTTTCCTAGGTGTGACCAAGAGATACAAAAACATATATTCAAAACTACTTGCCATAGTAGCCCCAGATTGGAAACAACCTAATTGTTCATTAACAGACGAATAAGCAAATTATAGTACATTAATATAATACTACTCAGTAATACTTTTAAAGAAGTTACTGACACATGCAACAATATGGGTGAATCTCATTATATTGAGTAAGATATTTCAGACATAAAGGCTACATGTTTTATAATGTTATTATGTAAAGCAAAAAAATACAAGCACAACTGATCTATAGTTATAGAATCAGAAATGTGATTTGCGGTTGCATCTGAGAGAGAACATTGCCCTGAAGGTATACATAATTTTTCTGAGATTAAGGATATGGTATGCACAGCAATTGAGATATATAAATATATATATAATATATATACACACACATATGTACATACTCATAGACATCTATATATACATACACAAACAGTGAAAGTATACATGCAATGTATGAAATTCATTACAGGCCAATTATACTTCAAAATGAAATAAAAAGAAAAAAGCGTCTAGGAAAATTTTTTTGAGTTGGTCATTTAATTATATTCACAATTTGATTTGTCTTAAAACTGCTCAAAAAATAAAAATAACTCTTTCTAATATTTAAGACATTTCTTGTGATTATCACATGAGGCTACACTTTATGTTTTAAAAATCAATTTTTTTTAAAGATATATAATGGCATGTTTTTAAATAAACACTTTTTTTTTTTCTGAGACAGGGTCTCACTCTGTTGCTCAGACTGGATTGCAGTGGGCATGATCACTGCTTACTGCAGCAACCTCAACCTCAACCTCGTGCGTTCAATTGGTTGTCCCACCTCAGCCTCCCTAGTAGCTGAGACTGTAGGTGTGCAACACCACACCCAGCTAATTTTGTAGTATTTTCAGAGACAGGGTCTTGCCACGTTGCCCAGGATGATCTCAAACTCTTGGATTCAAGTGACTCACTTGCCTTGGCCTTACAAATTGCTGAGATTACAGGCATGAGCCACTGTGCCCTGCCTAAATGGATTCTTTAATAGGCATTTACTTCACATGAATTGAGGTATGGTGAACTGGGTAGGACTATAGATGAAACAAGATCGAACATGTATTGATAAATGTTGAAGATGGATTATACTATTCTTTCTACATTGTGATTAAGAATCTTTCTGAAAAGGAGAATCAAAAATTGTTCTCATTTTTGGTCATAAATTATCTTGCTATCATATGCTTATTATTTTTTATTTGCCATCTTACACCAAACAAGTTGTAGAAAAAAAATATTTATGATGTATTACTTATATCGCATGTCTTGGCTACATCTAACCACTGTAATTCGATTTAGCCTTCTAATTACACATGTAATTAGACCCTTCACCAGCATCGGTCCTAAGACCAATCGTTGCCATAAGCAAGAACAATAAATGCCTAATCTTCATAAGACTCCTGCAAGATAGATATGCTCTTCACTTTTATCAATGGAGTAACTGTAGTTTAAAGCCCTATGAAATTCCTACAGTTATTAATTTGCATTTGAGCTTGAATTAGGAAAAACAGACACCTGACCACAAAACCAGTTCAATGACTAAAGTGTATTCTTGGTATCATGGTCTCTCATATTTTAACAGTATTTCTTTAATACCCCAGTAATTAGACCCTTGCTTTACTACTTAGCCAAAAAGTAATAAAGTTATTGCTTACTATCCTTGATTTAATACTTGCATGTAAATCTACTTGACTATTTTGCTTAATAAATAGAATTCCATTGAAATCCCAATTAATATTCCTTTAACTTGAAATTGTTTGAATTTTTCCTCAATGATATTTAATTTTTAAACTCTAGTTCCTCAAACTAAAACCAAACTGGGATTCTATACATCCATAAGCCCCTAAAATTTTTCTTGTGACTGTTTTTTTAGCATTTGTTTCATTTTGTTTTTCCAATTCAGAACGTTTCTATTGGGTCTCTCCTGGAAACTATAAATTTCTGATTCAAAGAATGGTTATTTAATAAAGGTCTATTAAAATATACGAATACTAATAGTAATGTTGCCACCCTAACAGATGTTAGTTTCCACCTACCACTTCATTTTGAGAAAAACTATGGCAACATAATTTGAATTGTAATGTTAATAATACAAATGTAAATCCAAGATCTTGTGGGGGATGTAAATGTTAATTGTTTTGCTTTAATTAGATGTGGCAAAAGACCTTTACCATGAAGTACGTATAATTGGAAGGTAAATTATGATTCATAAAATGAAGTTGAAAAAGATGTGCCTGTCTGGAAAGTATAATAAATACAGATGGACTTCTATGAATTTTAAAGAGCAGTTTAATTTTGCTAACAAAATGTAATAGGAAACAAAATGGTTTAGGTGAATTATTTAATATTATGCATATGCTAGAGATCCTAAAATTACCATGAAAACAAGAAAACTTTACTTAATTTTTACAATTTTCATATAGTACTTAAAATCTAGTTTATACCATTGCCTTCATTTAGAGTGACCGTATTTATAGTACTGACAATCTGTTAATGTCAAAATAAAAGATACGTGGTGAACTCTGGGAGGCAATCTAGAATACTTGTTAATAGCACAGGGTTTGAAGTTAGAGTGAGGAGACCAGGCGTTCTCAAAAATGGGGTAAACCTCCTCCCTTGCCCTGGGGAACTTTGGGCAATATCTGGAGATGCCTTTTGTTGTCCCAGCCTGGGTGGGGCATGAGGGTATTACTAGCATCTAGTGAGTAGAAGCTAGGCCAGAGATCCTGCAGTGCGCGGTATAGCTCACCACGAAAATTATACAGCCTTACAATATCAATAGTGCTAAGATTTAGAAACTTTGAGTTATGGTATATTCTGTGCTCTGCCACAAAGTGTTCATACTACTCAATTTCATTAAGACTAAGTTTCCTAATCTGTGCAATTGTGATTGAAATAATACCTATCTTAAAGTGTAACTGTGAAGATTAAATAAAATAACATCTGTAAGACAATAGCTGAGTATATGCATACATCAAAGAAATCAATTAATGTCTGGTATTTGTTTTTTTCCCAAATTGATTCCCACACGTGCCTAGCTTACTATACTTAAGATTTTCACACTCTTCACAGTCATGCCAAAAAACAAAACAAAACAGAACAAAACAAAACAATACAAAACAAGGACATACTGTCATGGTCTACTTCTTAAAGATATCAGAAGTTAATCACTTATTAAATTAAGTCCCTTCTGCCTCCTGAAACCACCATTCCCTTTCCATTCTTATTAACATCTTCATTACAATTCTGAACTTTTACTCACTTGAGCTCATTCCAAATTTACCTATGTCTGCTCTTATGCCTCTCAAAAGTACTGTTGTTACCTGTGTTACAAAAAGACTTAGAAAATAATCAGCTCAAGTAAGAAGATGTATTGAATGGAAACACATACCATTCAGCTAAACCGGCTGATCACTGTGACCTATGGTTTAAATATTTTGAATTTTGATTTTTAATTAGGCATGAATAAAGGATACAGGAATCAATAATGTGGTGGATGGCAGAGCTGAATTTTGGAAACACAGGCCTGTTACGCTGAAAATACCCAAAATATAGCTAAAGAGCTATGTATGTAACATTGGCTTCCATGCGGGATGTATAGAGCTTGAACCAACGTCACTCTCACTCTCACCCTAAGACAACAACAAAAACAAATAAATATATAAAAAATTTGGATAATCTGCAATTTCACAATTTTCTTGAGTACATCAAATAACTGGGGACACAGGTTCCCAAACTAACCAGAAACTTAAGAAAAGACAGGCACCTCCAAATAGAGAACTTGTGTTGTTACTAGCTCGCATGGTATTTATGCTGCTGGATGCCAGTAAAAAGAATTCAGCAAAAAAGTTTTATTAATCAGGAAGAGAGGGCTAGGTGAAAATTAGAGAACACTTTCATGTCATATACACTGGAGAAATTCCCAATTTCTCTCAGGTTTTTCTCCAAAAACAGCAACAGGTATGCACAAAAATTATTTGAGTATCTGAAGAAAGCCTTGCTTGTCATGCAGGCTTTGGGGCAGAATGGACAGTGGCCCCTGTTTTAATGGCATTAACATAGATTGTTCTCCCCTAACTCCTTCATAATGAAAGCGTAAAACTGCTGAAAATGACAAATAATTTAGTATAAATGAAACAATGCAGGAAAAAAGTTGGAAGTTTCACACTGCTCTCATGTGATGTCCAAACCTACTGCAAATTATCATTTATCACAATGATGTCATATCGGAAAAAATATAGACATATAAAGCAGAAAAAGAGAAAAGAGATCCCAGAAGTAGTACTGTACATATTTGTCAGTAGATTAAAATACAATAGAATTCAATTCAATGAGAAAAAGTAGTCCTTTCAACAGATAGTGCTGAAATACCTTGAATATTCAAAGGCAGAACAAACAACAAAAAACACAAGCTATACAAAAACGAGCTGAAAATAAGGCATTGTCCTAAACATAAAACCTAAAACCATAAAATTTCTAGAATAAGCATAGAACAATGCATTTGTGCCCTGAGGTTAGTCGAATAGTTTTTAGGTGTCACACTGAAACCAATTGTTTAAATCTTAACATATTGGATTTTATCAATTTTAAAATAGTTTGCTCTTCAAAAAGCACAGAAAATGGAAAGATAAGCCATGGAATGGGAGAAAATAATTTAAAATCGCATTCCTGTCTGTGAATTCTATGCAGGACTTTTTAAAAAAGCAAATCTCAATAATAAGAAAATAAATAATACTAAAATACTCAAGGCTACTCTTAAGGCAGAAAGTATTATAAAGAAAATGAGTAGTCCAGATATGGGACTGTTGAAAATATCATTTCACCTGGGTTCTTTGCTGATTTTTATGACCTTTTCTTTTGAATTTTAATTAGGCATAAATTGGGGATATAAGAATCAATAATTTGGAGGTGGCCAGATGTGAGGTTGTATCAGATACCCCTGCATGGATACATCTACCCAAGAGCCACATTTTCAGTGGATAGAATAGTATATTGATGTATAGTTTCAGAAAGGAAACAAACTTTCACAAAAACTACTGTTCTCTAGGCACTAACCAGTACTCTTAAATCTCAACAAGAACATGAAATGTATAATATTTAAAAGGAAATACACATTTATGATTAGAAGACAATAAAAATTCATGGAGAACACCACAAAGATGATAAGAAACACAATGACTCAATAGAAAAATATCAATAGATGAATAGAAATGTGGATAATATTTATAACATCAACAAACAAAAACATATAAACATAACAAAAATCATTTTTGGTAGCAATAAAATCTATAACATTCCCATTAGAGATGGAGACATTCTTTCCTGCCCTGAATTTCTGAGCCATATGAAAGGATCTGGACAATGAAATGTAAGCAAAAGCAATGTTTCTCAACTCCAAGAGTCAGAAACACTTTATCATTCACCTCCACCATTTTTTTCCTTGCTTCTATGATGAAGGTGACTGCATGCCTCATGTGATGTGATGTAGTTAAAAGATGGTAAACCCTCTACGATCTGATATTCTAGAATGACCGCTTTGCTAATCCCCTGCCAACTACATGTGAATGCAAAATAGACTTTTGTTATAGAAATCTATTGAGGTTGCTGTTGCCATTTTTGTTGTTTCTGCAGTATAATTTAGTTTTTGCTTACTGATGCAGAATGCTGGCATCAGGAATTAGGCGTCAATAAAAAATATCTAAATGCATGGCACTGGCTTAGAAAGTGGGTATGAAAAATGAGGATCCTCATGTCAAAGACAGAAAAGATGGCATTGTGTGTTATGCAGTGACAAAATAGTTAGAAAGAAGAACAATTCCCTAGAACAAAAACAAATCCTAGATTCTAGATAAATAGATTAGAAGATCAAACACAGTAGAGAATTCTCGAAGTCATTGTAAGGCTTTGTTAAGGTAATATAAGAAAGAAGAGCTAAGAAAAATGACGGCCTCATTTCAGGCAAAAGTAAAAGCAATAAATAGAGTCCAGAAATTCAGGCAATGTTGGACAAGTCAAATGTTTTTTGTTTATTTTTGTTAAAAGCATAAACTTCCTAGAACTTTGTTGGTTAACTTACCTTTAAATATTGGTCAATATTACAATTCATGCCAGTGCCCACACCAATAGAAATTGAATCCATTCTTAGGTATAAGGAAGAAACCAATCATCCCTGAAGCCTATGATTTCACAATGTGTTGACTAAACAAAATTATCTTATTAAGAAGAACAGTGAAGAGATAGGTTTAACAAAAGTGTCTTCTATAGCATACAAAAACTTAATGATGCCTATATTTTAACCTTGTCACCTGCAACCAATATCTTCTTTCACAGATTTACATATAACTTAAAATCTCCCAAATATATGTCATTTTGTTTCATGTCTCTGTACGTTTTGATGCTCCTGCATTTCTGATCCCTGACACTTTGAGATCTTGTCTACCAAACCAATGCTGATTTGTCTTATTAGACTCCACTTATTCTTCTGAAACAACCTTTCTTAACCTCTCTGAACTTTCTTTTCCAAGACCAGTAGAGTTTACCTGTTAATTTTTATGTCATGGCGATGTATTGGAATTGTGCTTTTTCTAACACTTCACCTCACTTTTCCTATTAGGTTTCTTAATGTGGCTTATCTTTACCAAATTTTAGGTGCCTTTGAAACAAGGTTCTATGTCTTACACATTGTTTGACTCTCAATACCAAGCATTTAGCACACTAAATCAATATTATCAAATAGTTGAATAAAAATAAACAAAAAAGATTTATTTATTGCATTGACTGATAAGATAGTATCACTTTTAACTCAGTGACATTTTGAAATAAAAAAGTAATCAGCATATTGTAACCAATGATGTTTCTAATAATGTTTCACTTCATTTGGATTTATTTTTCTACTTATAGGTTTCTTTCACTGTGGAAGCTAATTAGTGAGGTGGCTAATTTTCTCCACCGGATTAAAATCTCTTTAATCTTCACCCCAATTTGAATAGTTTTTAGTACTAAAGGAACTTTATTTTTTCCTTGTTATGCTGATGATAGAATTCAATTAATTTTAAAACTGTCTGGTTCTATAAATAGTTACTGTCATGAAATACTATTTGCTCTTTTATATTTTCCAACTGTTCTTCTAAGGATCATTGTGTTAGAATAGTGTAATACTCAGGGTTCTCAGAGATACAGGACCAAAAGGGCGCATAGACAGAGATAGATAGATAGATGATAGATACATAGATAGATAGATAGATAGATAGATAGATAGATAGATAGACTCTTTTATAGCTATAGATTGACAGTTCCACATATAGAGAGATGTATTATAACAAATTGGCCCATGGGATTATAGAGTCTGTCAAGTCTCAAGATCTGCAGGGTGAGTCAGCAAGGCCTGACACCCAGGCCTTTGAGGAAAGAATGCTGTAATTCTAGCGCAAAGGCTGGCAGTCTCAAGACCAGGAAATATCAGTGTTTCGATTCGAATTTGAAGGCAGGGAAAAACAACAGCAACAACAACAACAACGTTCCAGTTCAAAGGCTATCAGGTAAAAATCATTCTCATATAGTAGAAGGAGGGCCAGCCTTTTTTTTCTATTCATGCCTTAACTGATTTGAATGAGGCCCACCCACATTACTGAAGGCAATCTGCTTTATTCAATCCATCAACGTAAATGCTAATCTCACCTCGAAACACCCTCACAGAAACACCCAAAATAATGTTTACTAAATATCTGGTCACCTTGTGACCCAATCAAGTTGACACATAAAAATGACCATCAGACACAGTGTGCCTTTAATTGCATTTGCATTGCACATATGAAGTTTCTGCCTGTAACAAAAATGTTACAATCACTTCAATTCTCACATTCAGGTATTAAAGTTACTTTTAAAAATCTAGAAGAATCTCAAATCCCTTTAAGAATATGGTATGACCATAGTTGGCATCAACTGTGGGAAAATTCAGAAAATAATTGAACAACAAATGTCAGTGGCTGAGCAGAAATACAGCAAAACCATGAGCCAGAGGAAAAATTAGTTATGCCTCTTTGGTGAAAGAGAAGAAAAGAAACTAAGTTCTTAGAGAAACTGAGCTTTCAGCTAAATTAAAAAGCAGTTCTAACTTGACTTTAATTTGAGTATGGTGAAAAGACATATTTACAAGGATTTACAATCCTCGTTGCTGATAAAGTATGCCAGCTAAGGAGCCTAGGCCTAAATTCTAAATCTCATCTGACTTAAAGCTTTCCAAAGTAGCCTAATTTTAAATGTATTTCAGATCTATTTTTTCTTTAGTTTTCTAGTAGAGTCTCTGTTGAGTGAGTACAAACTGGATTAGCTTTATCCCTTAGATTTGATGAACTGCAAGGAGTGGGGAAGATGGAAGGAACACATAATCCTGTGAAGGTAAAAATTTTAGGGTTACTTAATGTATTATTTATATTTGTAAGAAAAAGATTTACTGTATTTATATATTAACAGCCAAATTCATTGCTTTAATGCAGTAGGAGTTTCCCTCTTTCTTACTCTCGGGAGGCCAAAGTGGGTTTTCCTGGTAAGTGACCAACTTTTGATATGACCATACAAGGACCCACATCCAATTCCCAGTTGTGGTTGCTCTGCATTAAAAGCCTGAATCCCCTCAAATAGAAGTCTTGAATCCATCAAGACTGTTGGGTAAAGAAGGTGAAGAATCTCTCAGGGGAGGTGATTCTCCCCCTAGGAGGTGGGGCCAAAACTAGAAGTGATCATTATAGCTTCTAATGACATTCCCTTTGCTACAGCTCAGTCACATAAACATAACTCACAGAAATGAGACTAGGAAAGTGATATAGATATGTAGAAAATTGCAATAAAAAATTAAGGTTCTCATCTACTATGTAGTATATAATTCTATCATGTTTCTTTAAAGGAGAAATATTTTGCCAAAATTTGCTAACGCATACATATAAATTGATAAGTTAGTATTAAAAAGAACACAAAATATTCCTAAAGGCATATAATAAATAGTCGTGGAATTTCTCCCAGTAGTATAAGACAAAATTATAGAGGTAATATTTTTATCCCCAAGTTAACAGGAAAAAAAAGTCACAAGTTAGATTATAATTAAAAATGCAGTTTTCAAAAAAAACTGATGGGAATAAATAGAGGTTTCAGAAAAGATAGTAAAAAGCACAAAAAGCCTGGCCTCTTTGTCAGATGTCAGTGAAATTAGGAAAAATGATAAATGATCCAATGTATTTGGTTTTGCTATTACAATTTAAAAAGAAAATTATGAAAATACACATTGAGCCTGAATGCCAATTTCAAAAGGCAAATATTAATTCTGAAAATTAAAAGGCAAGGCATTTAGATATGTAAAAAATTAGGATAAAAACTATAATCTTCCTCAACCAAATTAGTTTTGTGTATATAAATATACATATATTTAAATATATGCAATATGTGAGCATATTTGTTAATTTTTGCAAGTGCATGTTATATATATTATGTACTATATATAATGACAGAAGTGTGATTTTTAAGCCTTATATAACTAACATGAATGTCAGCTATAAATTGGACTACAGCCCATAAATAATTTGATAAGTGCTTATTAAGCTTATGATACTATCACTATGTATTATCCAATGTAAAGGGTTATTTATTTAAATAATTATTTATATTAAAATATTTTATGTTGATTTAGAGACATCATGAATATATCATTTTAAAATAAAATACAGGGACAATAGGAGAAAATAAAATTTTTATGAGCTTTTAAAACTTCCTCAAAGAGTCTACCTTTTCAGAATTACATTTTTCTTTTACCCACTCTTAGTTTAATATTTGTATATATTTTTTCAAATTAATAAATATAATCTATGAATTCAGCCTCATTGTAAAAGGACAAACAATTCAAACTTTATTCATATAAAAAGTCAAATTTTTCTCCAGCTCCATCAAAAAGTTAACTCAATAACTTTGCTGGAAAGTAGACATTATTATGAATTTTTTGTGAATCCTCCAAGATATATAAGCACTTTTTATTTTGGTATAATTTATACACAAATCACACATATTTAATGTACATCACGTAATTAGTTTGCACATATGAAAACATTTGTCATACCATTACCACATCAAAGTAATAGCCACATACATCACCTTCCAAAGTTTAATTATGTCTTTTTTGGTTTTATTTGGGTTGTTTACTTGTTTTGTGTGTCTTTGTTTATTTTTGTTTCTCTTTGAAAGAACCCTTAATATAAGTTCAATTCTCTTAAAAAGATTTGAAGTGCACAAAACCATCACTATGTTGTACAGAAAATCTCTAGAACTTGTTCATTTAGCATAACTGAAACTTTATATCCATTGAACAAGTCCCAATTTTGCCTACTCCTTGCAATCACTGTTGTATTCTCCAACAGTGTAAGTTTGTCTGTTATAGATAATTCAAATAAGAAGAATCATGCAGTATTTGTCCCTCTGTGATTGGCTTATTTCACTTAGCATAATGCCCTTCGGGTTCATCGATGTTATTGAAAATGGTAAGGTTTCCTTTTTTTTAAGATTGAATAATATTTTATTGTATATATATACTACATTTTCTTTATCTAGCTCTTTATCAATGGACACTTAAATTGTTTGCATATATTGGCTATTATGAATAATTCTGCAATGAACATGTGAGTGGAGATTTCTCTTCAAGATCATGATTTCAATTATTTTGTGCTACGATCTAAATGTGCCCCCTCGAAAATTATATGTTGAAACTTAATCACCAATGTGATGGTATTAAGAGATAGAAGTTTTAGCAGGTGATCAAGTAAATAAAGGAGAAGCCCTCATGTACAGGATAAGTGTCCTTAAAAAATAGTGCAACAGAGCTGTTCACCCCTTCCACCATGTGAGGAAGCAGCAAAAGGCACCATCTTGGATGCAGAGAGTAACCCCCACCAGGCACTGAATCCACTGGTGCCTTGATCTTGGTCTTCTCGGCCCCCAAAACTGACAAAATAAATTATTATTCTTTATAAATTACCCAGTCTCAGGTATTTTGTTACAGCAGCAAGAACAAACAAAGACATGTTGGATATAAGAAATTGAACCCTTATCTTAAGCCGTACATGATGTAAATGTATTAAAGATGTAAACATTATGACTTAAACTGTAAAACTAATTGAAGAAAATATAGGTGAAAGCTTGTTGATGTTTATTTTGTCCAATGCTTTTCTGTGATATAACATATGAATCATATTTTAAGTCAAAGCCATAGATACAACATATTTTTCCAAACATTATCACCTGTTTCCAATAAAGACTTATGAGAATATAGCATTTTTAAAGTGATTTTTTTATAATGTTTTTCTTCAGGATATTCAACATTTTTCCAAGATGTTAACATTCATTTTTGTGTTTTCATATCTATTCTGAATCATTATTTTCTGCTAGTGAATATTTTCACCTAACAACTAGAACTTATGTGCCTGCTTTTACTCTTTTCTCAAACAGTTTGTTGACTCAACTGTCAAGAAGTTATGGTTCGACTGTCACACCACCAAAGAAAACATTTAAAATTGCTAGCACATGTGAAGTTGCTAGCAATTTAAAATGACAATTTTAAATGCCATTGATTGCTGGATAATTTTAGAGATATTGAAAAGTTAAAAATATACTTCACATAGTAATATGAACTTATGTCCACATGGACTCTTGAACTTTTTCCTCAAATCAGTTTATAGCTAGTTTATTGTTCAGTGACATAAGAAACATTTATGAAAATATTAAAGAATCAGAACATAAGACCATTTTCCATCTTGCTATTGAATATGAAATTCTTACAAAAATATATAATTAAAATTATGATATACCTTATAGGATCAATCACATTATAGTTAGTCATTAAATAGGGTTACATTCCAAAAGGCTCATCATGTTTGGTTCTGTAAAATAGTTTGACTGTGGACCGAGTCTTATTTGACAATTATAAGCCAAATGCTTATTTTGTATTCAAAAATGTTTGAGAATTTTAGTATATCCTAAAAAGCATTTAGGGTGTACAACAATGATAGGTTGAATTTAATTGCTGATTTTCAATTATGCCTCTTAGAAAATGGAGGTGACAGGCAGGCGTGGTGGCTTACGCCTATAATACTAGCACTTTGGGAGGCCAAAAGGGTGGATTGCCTGAGCTCAGGAATTCAAGGCCAGCCTGGGAAACATGGCCAAACCCTGTCTCCACTAAAAATACAAAAAATTAGCCGGGCATGGTGGTGCGTGCCTGTAATCCCAGCTACTCAGGAGGCTGAGGCATGAGTATCGCTTGAACCCAGGAGGCAGAGGTTGCAATGAGCCGAGATGGTGCCACTGCACTCCAGCCTGGGCAACAGAGAGTGAGACTCTGTCACCAAAAAAAAAAAGAAAGAAAAGAAAAGAAAAAACAAAAAAAATGGAGGTGACACAAAATGATCAACTACAAGTGCAACAGAGCATAAAATAATTGGGAATGAAACAGAATGCAGGAAGTATGCACAAAAGGGAATACTGAATTTTACTAAGATACTATGAACATTTCCACAGCTCAGACGTATAGATTTGCTTCAACAGTGAACACCAATGGATAAGACTATCTCAGGCAGAGGAAATAGCACTAGCCAAGACACAGAAGTGTGAAGCCGCATAGGACATTAAAGGTAGAAATCATTTGGCCCTGTTGAAATTGTTTGCTGAATTTAGAAAAATGTTATATTAGAAAAGGATAAATAATGTGACTAGATCATAGGGATAAAATAAATAAAAAATGTGTAAACTCTTCTGAATAGTTAGATTTATTGGAACAAGATAGATCCATGCAAGTGTACAAAAAATTTCAACTTTATCATTGACACATGATGCAAAAATAAATATTTGTTGGTGTTATGAAAGATATATTAGAGGTAAGTATTGAAAGATAGAGTTAAGTATTGAAACAGATTAATTGGCAGGTTACAAAAGGAGGCCAAGCTCAAGATGATGAATTTTAATAAATATAGTAAACAGGCTAATAAATGTTAAGGAACACAATAGAGCAAAATTGTCAATTAACTAGGAAATGGTTAAGGAAGAGATGAAAGTTGATTAATGTGATTAATTAATACAGAAATCCAATGATTAATGATGGGATTTTTTTTAAAAGACTCAATTTACAGGCTTT
Organism: Homo sapiens; assembly: GCF_000001405.40. Lineage (NCBI taxonomy): Eukaryota > Metazoa > Chordata > Mammalia > Primates > Hominidae > Homo > Homo sapiens. The sequence goes on from NC_000005.10 coordinate 27,383,596, forward strand.
CTCTCCATATATGTGTGTGTGTGTGTGTGTGTGTGTGTGTGAGTGTAGGTAGATATTATTGCTATATTATATATAGATGTCACATATATACATATGATGATAAAGACATGATAATGGAGCATGCTACTGTAGAAAACCAGTTTTTGACACTTAGCTACAAGATCATAATAACTTGCAAATGTATTTGGGGAAAACACATCTGCTAAAAATGCCAGCAAGTTACAACTTGAGGAAGATTAAAACCATTTTAAACTTTAACAAATAAGTACACAAACCTCTTGAGCACACTGAATTGTTCACTTATGAGCACACTACACAGACCTATGAGAATCTGTGCATCATATTTCCCTGAGCATGGAGAAAAAGAATAGTCATGAGTGCCTGTTATTCTAACATGCCCTAGAATTCTTAAATAATAGGTATTATTAAAAGGAGATCTATTTTATTTAAACTTGTTAAGCTTAAATAGAATGAGCTAATGGGGGATACTTTTCTATCATTCTTGACTTACATTGTCATCCTCCAAGATATCACTTCAAGTTGCTAAGCCCATCTATTTATCTATTTATTATTTTACACTTGAAGTGGGGCCTAATATAATTATTGTCAAGTGAATGGTAGTAGTAACAATAATTTCTAATAATAATTGGTAAATAATACATTTAGAGTAAATATCATTCCTGAATCATTAGGTGTCAACCGCAAATAGAGTTAATATAGAAACAAAGAAAGGACAAGTAAAAGGATGCCAAGGTAATAAAATATTTTAAAATAATATTGTAATGAATATGTAAAATTTGCTAAAATAATAAGGTAAAAATTATTTAAAGCATCATAAAATGATAAATTTCTAAAATAAGAAAAATCCTGCACATGTATTAATATAATTATTCACTTTTTAAAAGCAAAGAGCAAAATATATTTCAGAATATTTGATGTAACAACTGCCTGAAAGATTTTTCTCTGAAAATCTATAACAATTTTTAAGTCTCTCAAATTACATCATCAATCAAGTATCATTTATACAGACATTACTTTTTAAACTATCATTTTCTCTCAGAATATCAAATGCTTTGAAGCTGTACTGAAAATGATTTTGATACATTAAGGTGACATGCCAAAAAAATTTCCAGAGACATTTTTCACATACTTTTTAATGCTTTTTTGGTGTTTTTTCATTATTTCAAGATTAATTCAAAAATAATATTTTGGCTGGGAAAATTTTCATAATTTGACTATGTACTTTGTTTTGCGACCCTTATTGACGTAATAATACAGTAAGAAGATCATGTAGTGAAGTACTGGGAATTTATGTTGCTTGAATTGAAGATTTATTGATAAGGCATCCCATTCACAATTTGTAAAATAAAGAGATTCATACTGTAATGAATAAAATTTGTTCTCTCCCTGGGATACAGAAAATTCCTTATTTACACATCATTTAACTGATTATACTCAGATCTTTTACTAGTCATAATATGTGGCTGCTCTAATATTCAAAGATTAGATTTGAATCCAACTTCCTCTTATGATTATAGATTTTCTTTTATCATTTAGAGACAAAAAGAAGTCTCCAATAGTAGCTGAAAGTTTTCAGAGGTTCCTCACTTGTCCTATGGGTTTAAATTAGGGTGAAGATGGTCTAAGCTTAGCTATAGACCAAGCTTTAGGCAAAGCGATTTTAGAAGGTGCATATTATTCCTTTAGAAATTAAATCACTAATTCGTGTGTGTAAGACTATCATTAAAAAGCAAACATAGCAAAATTATCATTAGATTACCTGACCTTCAAATATTGTGAAAGATAACCATTTTTTTTCTATTTCATTTTTTTTTCCTCAGGATATTTGTGTGTGCCAAATCCTTAGCCTGCTATTGTCAGAAACCATTGACAGGCCTCTTTAAAAATATTAACTTCTCAATCACAATACTAGACCCATGTCTGAAAGAAAGCCATGTAAAATATTTCCCCAAAGAGTCTTGAAAAAAGGAGCCACTCCTAAGAATCATTTGTGCTGCATTTTCTCTTGCTATATCAGGGTGATAAACTGGGTTTGGTTAATGCAAGGGTGTTTTCTCAGTTGTCCTTTGTGGGTAGACTCAATAGTGTTCACATCTGAGACTCTTTCATCACCAGCTGTAGAGAACAACCATCTTTGAACAATGAAATGTTATGCTGAATATGAGCTTAAAACTTTTGTTGAGCCCTGTGTTGCTGTTTATTTTCAGTGGTAAAATCAAGTACAGTCATTCTTCGGTATCCATGGGGGATCAGATCTAGGACTCCTGTGGATGCCAAAATTCGCAGATGCTCAAGTCCTTTATATAAAATGGCATCATATTTGCATATAGCCTGTGCATATGCTTTTGTATACTTCAAATCATCTCTCGATTACTTATAATACCTACTACAATGCCTACAGATCACTTTATTTGTGTGAATTCAACACAGTACTCAGCACCTGGCAAATTAAAGTTGTGCTGTTTTGGGACATTGTGGATATATTTTTCCAAATATTTTCCATCTGCACTTGGTTAAATCCACAGATGGGGAACCCACAGATCCAAAGGGCCAACTGTATATTATTTAGGATTCTGATTGGTCTGTGTAAGCCTGTGTTCCATGATGAAGTCCAGGCTGTATCTTTCTTTTCTATTACTTCATTCTCTTTTATTGATGAACTTGACGTTTACACTTAAAGAAAATGGCAAGAAGAAGATGCTCAATAAACCTGACAGCTTGAACCAGCTCCAAAGAATAACAAGTAGAATTTCTGAATGTACTAGTGTGCTTTGAACACAAAGACTTGAGTCATCACTCAAGACCTTGTATAGACTCTTTTCTTGCCTTTCTTGGTTTCCCTGAGAATTGATTTGATTTTTCCATCTACTGGGAAGTACAGTATGTCAGGCTCACAGGTGGTGATAGCTGGCATTTGGTTAAAATCTATACATGAGGTGCAGAAGTAACATAATTTTTCAACCAGCTCAGTTTTTACAGGGTTGTCTCAGTTGAAGTATTCACTCCAACCTGAGCAAACTTATGCTTCATACACGCACTCCCATCTTGTCCTAAATATTATTTCTAACAAAGTTGCACATTTTTACTAAAGACAACTTAGCACTGTTGCGGCCATTTTGAGGAAACTTCGATATGACTTAGACAATCTTATAGATGTCTTAGAAGGGAAGGTACAAAATACCTAACATTTAATGGTCAGCCTTTCTTGACTGGCATGTGGAAAAATCAAAACCTAATTTGGACTCCAAAATCATTTTCCTAATTTTTTTTTTCTGGTGCAGACTATTCAAACGTGAAAACAGACAGCAAATAAACAAGCAAACAACTTCGAACAGCTTTACCCTTAGAATTCTCCATCTCCACATCATGAGCTTTTCTCCACATTTACTCCTCCTACCTCCAAGACACAATTCTATTTCAAAATTATAATTTCCTTCTATCCTGTATGAAACCACTTTAAGGTCAGAAATCTATGTCAGGTGGACTTTAGCACATTGACATGGACAATTTCAATGGCATTGTCAAAAATTTCCCAAATCCATGAGAATAAAGGAAAAAATTTAAAGGGATACTGAATTTTCTTGGGTCCTTATAATCTCAGTTTTTTGAATTTATAAAACTAAAATAGACTGTTTATTAAAGATGGTAATTTAATAGCCAAGACTTGGATAGAGATAATGATTGGGGGAGAGGGAACTCCCAGGAAGGATCTAAAGGAACATGGATGCTGAAAGTCTGAGAATTGACTTCAAATAGCCCAGGTCATAGTATAAAACCTTGTCAAAGACATTTCACAAACTTTAAACTGATTAAATATTGACCTAAATTTAATTTCAGAAACAGTGAAGGCAAAGGATAAATTGGAGATTTTGGAGATCACTTGAAAAATACTTTTAATGTTGACAATGTAAAAATTGCCCTGGACAAAATCAAACAGGCCAGGAAGCCTGTAAAGTTCAATATTTTTACAACATTGAAGAGGGATTAAATTCACTTCCGCTAAGATTAAAAGCAAACAAAACAACAACAACACTGAAATTTTTAATAGCTGTGGTGGGGGAAATTGGAGGCCACCTGTATTTGCTAACAGTCTTTACCCAAAGGAAAAGTAAACTTTCGCATATCTTCATGACAGAAGTTAGCTTTACAATTTGGAGCAAAGAGCCAACTGAAGTTAGGCTTCTACCCTCCCAAAGAGACTAAAAGATGCAGGAACTTTCTCCTCCAATGTTGACGTTTCAAGGAGGGAGAGAGAGAGATCTCAGGTTCTTGAGAAAGCCATTCACTGGATCTTAAAACTGGTAAGGAACTCCAAAGGAGAGATATATACATTTCAAAGAGAGCTGAGAAAGAATTTGCAATTACAAGTGTTCTAAAATGTATGCTCTATAAAAAGGGTTGTTAGGGGACTACAGTAAGAAAGAAACCTGTCTAAAGCTTAGTCAAGCTAAGGGGAACATTAAAACCATCTCGGGCACCGTATTTTAGGTATAGACATAATACAGATGTTTCCATTGCACGTTCCACATCTTTTTTAGATCAATTTAAACCTGAAATGTTGTCTGTAAGAAAACAAGAAAAGTGGCAAATGTTCCCCTTGACCAATCTATAACATTTAGCTGAATGCTCTACAAATATTCAAAGAAAAAAAATAACAGCAACAAGATTCAGATTCATTTAATGGCTCTTACTCTACAAATAAAACTATGTGATGGATGAACTCCAGTGACAAAATGAGAAGATACTCTTTTATACAAATGTTTCAAGATATTATGAAAACAAATAGGACTTCAAAAACTTTTGACCCATCCTTGCTACCAAGAGACAGGAGAAAGATGCTTCTGAGTTAGGGTGGAGTGGCTCTGAAGGATTGCAGTATCTAGTTAGCATTGATTCCCTTAAGGAAAACAGGCTCTAAAGTATAGAAAGAGAAAGCAGAGCTTTTGAATAGCAAAACTGCTACTTTGTCAACAGTAAATTCTAGTACAATTTCCATATATCTCCTTTGGCATTCTAAGTCTACTTGAGTGGTCTAGGATCTCTAATTCCCCCAGGCACTTTTACTCATCCAAATTGTACCTGTTTCCTTTGGGCTTCTAACAAATCAACATTGAATTCCTTCTCTATTTCATCTAACTTAAAGAAAAGTACCTCCTTTATAAATAAAACTGCCAAACCAAATGCTCATAAATCTGGCTGTTCTTGAAACAACTGAAGGCTCTGTATTGCTGACTACACACGGATTTTTCTTTCTTTTCATACTTAAGTCAAATCCAACCGTGTGTTTCCAAAGGAGCCAAGGCTTCCACTGGTGCTGGGAAAATACTGGGCCTCAGTCCATCAAAGAAAATATTAACTCACCTAAGTTAATAGCCAAACTTGCCTGATACTCTTCAAAGTCTGAAGCAAAAAATAAAGCTGAGTCTCATTGTAGAAAGAGTTACATAGATAGAGGCTCATTGTTCTCTGTGCCAGACCTTTTTGTAACGCCAAAAAGCTAAACGTTATGAATTTAGGCTCTTGCAGCATCTAAGAGATACAAGCAAAATTGTGATCTCTCAAAATTTGTGTGTGGGCTTTCATATAGCGTCAAAAGAAAGCTAATCTACCAATAAAAACACTATTAAAAGCCACTGAAAATGCAAAAATTTTCACGAGAACAGACAGGTCTTCATAATTATGACTTACCTTAAAAAACATTTGATTTTTTTATTATGCATGCTACAAAGATCATTTACTCTTGTTGATATGTTGAATAAAAATAAATCACAAGTTTAAATGACATTTTCAATATTTCAAATCTAGAACTATCAGAATATGTTCTATTACAATGTGATCTATTAACTCATCCAATTTGTTGCCGCAATATTATATGCTGCTTTATTTATTTAATAACATATTGTACTTTATTAGAGACCAAATTTTGAAAGAAATACTACACCTGTACTTGCATGATCCTTACAGTGAAAGCCTCCTTAAATTTTGGACCTCAGCTCCCTCATTTCCCTTAGCGTCAAGGATGAGATGTGGTGGATGCGAGCAAGAACAAATCTGACCCAACGAACACAAGCTGAAGCCCAAGAAGACAAGCTGACATTGATATCCGTCCTGTTTGTTTCTTGCCTTGATTTTGAGATTGTCTTGTATAAGTTGGGATCCTTCATCACAAAGCTAAACATACCCAGACCAAGAGTCAGAGAAGCTGATGAAGGATCCTCTGAAAGGTGAAGTATTTGCAGTGCCAGTCACTGTGTCATGCTAATAAGGTGAACAAGCAGAGAACTGACAAAATACATGACCAATAAAATGCCTGTGGCTTTATTTCTGCCTACGTAATGATCTATTTCATGATCCTTCCCAACAGGAAAGGATATTCTAGGAAATGTAGGTCAGCCTAGCCAAGTGAACCTATTGCAAACACACCCACCTATTTTTGTATTTGTTGAATACATTAAAATATCTGTATTGACAAAATATCTGTATTGACAAAATATGTTAGTTTTTTATTATTTAAAACATCAAACATTCTATAAAAGTATAGATTTGGTACAACTCAACTAGGGATTATTGTCTGAAAGTAATATAAGAATATTCAAAAGGAAAATAAAGTTGTGTCTAAATATCAAAATTTGCCAATTGTTACATTATTTTATGGAATGATCATGGCTAGGGAAATACGCAATATTTAGGAATCTAATATACTTTACTGATTAGATTTCAACTAGTTGAATTTACATGCAAGTATTATTTTGGCATTCTACTGTGTTTCTTTAAACATCATCAAAATTTTTTTGCAGTTGATACTTTCAAATTTTTAAAAATTTATTCATCTGTGAAAAATAGTGTCAAATTCAAAGATTCACAAAAGCAATGCCATAATGCTCTTTAATAATATACCATTAAAACTATGTTGTTTTCCTGTTCTTATTAACTACGTAGAACTCATTCTTTAGACAATGATCAACATATTCCAGCGATACAATAATTATAATGTTTAAATATGTTAATTTGTAAAAGTGCAAATATAAATCCATATGTGTTAGATATATTTATTTTCTGGACATACTTATCTTTTAATAAAGGCTTACATTTAATTTGCATTATTTACTTCTATGTTTCCATCTAAACTAGAATCCATACATTTCTTAAAAATTGAATATTTTGTTACAATAAAAATATCAAGTAAATTTAGACTCTGCTATTAACACCTATTATTATGTAGGCAGTACAAAGCATACAATGATTTTGTAATGCCTTTATGAGTTTCTATGGTGATAAGGAGCTTGCATTGATAGACAAATAGAGTTGAATAAGTGATAGTATCTCTTGCATTATAAAATCTATTATCATTATCTGTATAGCTCTTTCATCTCGTACATTGTTCCTAAATCTTCTTAAAGTGAATAAAAAATTAAAATAGACTCTTTTGTGAAAGTCCATAGGATCTGCAGCTGGGTAATTTGTTCATCTCTAGTAGTGCCGAAATAGCCCAATGACACCTAAATGCACTCCCTGGCATACTTGTGAGATTGCTAACGCATCAATTATAGATGTCTCTGTTAAAGTTTCCTGGAAGTATGTGTCCCAGGGAGCTAATTTGTAGGCTTGAAGGCTTTGATATAGGTGTCGATTAAGTTGAATTTGGACTTTTCATAATTGGAAAATGTTAATTGAAACAAATTCTCATTTTTCAGTACAGCTAATCAGTTCCAGTCTTTAGCACATTCATTCCAAAAATTTCCCCATTACATTTCAACATTTCACTGATGACCTTCATATGAAGTTGAGTGTGCTATTATCGAGTAAAGATTTTAGTCTGATAGAAGAACACCATAATAGCTGGTACATGGAATAATTTTACTGAAAAGAGAAGAGACATTATGTCATTGGAGTGCCATGTACAATTCTGTTTGATTTTAATCACCCTCCCCCCAACCATAAATTTGCTGGGTACATGATATGCTGGGACAATGTCTAAAATAAAAAATGTATGGTTTTCTGGTTACCTAGTGGAATGGCTATCTGGACTGGGGCACATGGTTTAAACTTAAATTTAAATAGAACTTTTCTATTCCCCCCAAAACTATATACATATAAAATTAACTCTAGTTGTTCAATAAAACATTCCCAAAGTTCACTGGCTTAATGAAACAAATGTTTCATTTTCCAATCTTACCATAATTTAATGTAGAGGAATGCTAGGGCAATAGTGTTTGCTCAAGGCAGTCATTCAGGTTCCTAGTGTCCTTCCATTTTTAACATGTGACTTCAAATTTGCCCTGAAATTATTCAGCTAGACTCTATGGAAAAAGATAATATAGAGGATCCCATAGGAAGATATTGAGACCAGACCTTCAAATAAATTGTTTTCATTATTTCCATATTTATTCCATTGTCCGTTCACTCACATGGCTCCTTCTAATTGCAAGATGGATGGAAAATGCAATCTAGCAGTTGCATGGAAGCAAAGTAAATGCATTAATATTGGAGGATTATCATTCTCTGCCATGATCCCTTACCTCTTATCCTTTACCTTTAATATTCAATTCCCTACACTCTTTGCCAGGTACCTTTATTCTTAATGTACAAAGTGCTTTTGCTTTTATTTAATATAGATGAATTTAATTTGTTTTATTTTATAATAAAATACTTATATGATTTTGATCAGCATGTTCTTTGACAGACTACTTGATAACCACACTGTTATTTGATTGAGGGTTTTGAACAATTATTAAAAATATTATAGTTAACTTATAATGTGGAAAAATAAATGAAATTTTAAGTTAATGACTAATTATAGAAATAGTCTTTAGACAGGTAAAAATCCTCATCCTATCGGGTAATGGTGTTTAGACCAACACTTTGCCTTACCTTGTCTTTGAGTAGTTACTCAGGATGTACTATTAATTACATCTTACATTATGGACAAGTGAACATGTATAGAGTTTCTAGCCCAATTGGAAGAGTGCAAAATGGTCAACATCAACAATAAAACTAAAATAAAATCTGTAGAAATGACTAAGAAACATTTTTCAAGGTGCTGATTGCATCTTCATATAGATGAGGCAATGGCATTATCAGTAAGCCAGATTCCTGGACATGTAAAGTGTAATTACTGCTGTACTTCCTGCTTTATTCTAATTTATAGCTAATGAGTTGGATATTTTATTTATTACAAAAAAATATGCTTCGACTGCCTGTTAGTATCTTTTCTCCTATTATATCACTTATGCTTTGCCACAGTGATGTTTTAACTTCAGTTCATAATTGTGAGGTTTTAGAATTGGCTCCAGGCCATTGGTATAAATAGTATCCCAGAACCACAATAAAAACAAGGAAGTACCTGGACATAAAACTGTGTTCAACAGTAAATCTACTAAGATCTTTCTTTTCTGTATTTATTTCATGCAGCTTGGTTATAATATCTCAAAGAAAAGGTTTTTTTTACAAACAAAAGTACTCATCTGAACCAATAATAATATACAGTTTAAGCAAAAGTTGTGTCAATGCTCTTTGATAGTCAAATCCTGCTACATCTGAGCATTTAATGGTATTTTCACTCTGTTGAGAAAATATGTAAATTTTATGATATATTACATCCTTGGCATAAGCAGAAATGATCAATGTCTCTTGAGGCCTTGAGAGGAATTTAAGTGAATATTATTAATCAATTAATCAATCAATTCAATCATTATAACAACCATGCAATATTGGCAGTATTATCATCCTCATTTTATAGAGAAGAGTTCAACAAATGGAGGCTAATGTTGGGTTTCAGCATTTTCCAAAGTATTTCTATTCCTTTCCAGAAAGAACCAAATGTAAATTTTAATTATTATTTACAAAGAATTCCTATCAAGATATCCATGTAATGTTGACTCCCAAAAAAGGTCACCAGAAAACTTATTAAGTAAACTAAAGTCTATGCCAATGCAGGTATGGAAAACACCATTTCGAAAGAATCTTAGTAAATCTCCAAAGAGGATGACAGAGGAAGATATTTTTATGATTATTAGGATCTGGAGGCCAGATAATTTAAAACAAGTCTTTCAATGTGGGAAACTGTTTGAACTAGAAACGTTATTGACATCAAAGATTAGGATAGTTGGCTGAGGTGGTGGCTCATGCCCGTAATCTCAGCACTTTGGGAGGCTGAGGTGGGTGGATCACGAGGTCAAAAGATCGAGACCATCCTGGCCAACATGGTAAAACCCCATCTCTATTAAAAATACAAAAATTAGCTGGGCGTGGTGGTGGGCACCTGTAGTCCCAGCTACTTGGGAGGCTGAGGCAGGAGAATTGCTTGAATCCAGGAGGCGGAGGTTGCAGTGAGCGGAGATTGTGCCACTGCACTCCAGCCTGGCAACAGAGTGAGACTCTGTCTCAAAAAAAAAAAAAAAAAAAAATAGGATAGTTGGCACAGATAATAAATGGTCTTGATAAGTAAACTGTTATCTCCTAACTAAATTGTTTGCCCAGGTGAGCAAAATTTTCTCCTGATAGGAACAATATACTTTGTCATATATTGGCAATATCTATTTATTGGTTTGTAGCCTTACATTCCTGTGCAAGAATATCTAGGGAAAAAGTCAATACACGTTAAAATGGTAGGAAGAGTGTCATTCAGTTCTCAGTTGAGATTGTTAGACTATGTTAATGCAAGTTATTTCAATTGTCACCACCTTTTTTGGAAAAGAAAATTTCTTATTATGTGATATGAACAAACTACACTTACAAAGACTTGTGAGAAATTTTTGTTAAAGTGTGGCCATTTTCTCTAGGATCCTTACATTCAGAAAGGAAACAGATCATTGATTGTTGTCTCAAATTAAAAAAAAAAATCCTATTTCTTTGGCCTTCATCACAGTTATAAATTCCTGCTTGGATACATGTCCTATTGTGAAAATAACTGTTATCAGCCTGGAACTTTTCTGTCAAATACAATAGCCACTAGCCTCATATCATTATTTAAATTTAAGCTTTACTTATTTAAAAATTAAAAGGCAGTTTCTTAGTCGTGCTAATCAAATTTCTGGTGCTCAAGAGCCACCTGTGGCTAGTGACTATCATGTTAGACAATCCAGAATTATAGAACATTTCTAACATCACAGAAAGCTCTATGGCACGGCATTAATCTCAGAATTGTTTATATTCTGAGAGTTGACTTAAAATATAGTCACCTTTTACAAAGCATAAATATCCTTTCTGGGCTTTTGGAACAATAGTCTTATGCATGGGTAGGACCAGTGCAATAAAATCTCCAAGTAGTAGTATTTCACATTAATTATTATTTTTATGTGAAATGACAGTGTATTATACGTTCCAGTTTGGCATCAAATTCCCATTGGGCTCTTGTGTTTTCATTTCATTATTTTTTGATAAAAAGGTATAAGAGGGAATGAGAAGTAAACACTTTTTCTCTTCAAGTTTCACTGAATGTTCATTAGATATTTATGGGCTCAGTGAAAAAAAAAATACCACTGAGTCATTTCTGGGAAATGTGAAAATACATAAAAGCAATCCCAACATGTGCTATAAAATTTTAATGTATATTAAAATTAAACACCTATGACTTAATAGTTTTGCTGTATTCCACTGCAGGAAAATAAAAGAAATTTATAAATGAGATTAAAATTTTCAAGTATTTGGTTCTACTTGATTAGTTTCATTCAAACACAACACATTAGTTGAAACTGTAGAATATTTAAACTAGTTGATCCCTTCCTGTGGAATTTTTACTTGGTGATTATTAACTACACTTGAGCATTTTGGGTTTCCAATGTAAGATGTGCTCCAGTACAGTTACCACTATCTGATAAAATCAATAATGGTGCTTTTTTTTCTTAAAGTGACCAATATATTATCACAAATTCCTTTAAAAAATACTTTGAAATAGTAAATAACCTAAGCTTATCTTTTAAGCATGAATGGGTCAAGTTTAATAAATTAAGAAGGCAAATGCAATAGACACGCAGTATCTCGTGTGTGTACGTGTGTGTGTTCGTGTGTGCGTGTGTGTGTGTGTGTGTGCATGTGTGCGTGTGTGTGTGTTTTCTTTACCCAGTTGCTAACCAGTTCTTAAGGCTAAGCTCATATAGTTATGTTCTTACATTTTGAAAAACATCTCCATAATCTCAATCTCTCAAAATTTAGTGCGAACATTTTCTCTGGGTCTTTAATAACTCTAGAATTTTACTTTACCTGCAGCTTTTTAAATGTTTAATCTTTTCAACAGAAACACCTGCCTCTTACATCTTTCTAAAATAGTTAAAGCAGGGATACCTTTCCTGGCATCACACTGTGTGCGTCCAAATGGCAGGTCTTTCAAGATCATGCAGATGCATTTATTTTACCCTTTTAAGGTGAGTCCTCCGAAGCCCTATCAAAAATTACTAAACACAGCAAATTGTTTTTACTTTTTTTCATAAGATGAATGTACTGGAATAATATCCACCTACTTTTTAATTAAAATTGATTTAGATTGCCTACTATGAACCAGACACTCTATTAGGCACTTTGACATGTATTTTGCTATTTATTAATCACTAGAGTTTAGTGAGAAAGATGGTCAATCTTTGTTTATAAAATTAAGAATCTCAGTATAAAACAACTATTTTCTAAAAAATTCATAGCCGATGCATGAATTCTGGTTCTACCAAATCCAAGTTTGAATTTAATTCAGATTTAAGTATCTTAATTCCATACAATATTTTTTAGTTCCTTAGATCCTAAAACTACTTGCAGGCAAAAAATATTTTGTAATTCCAGTTTTAGTATTCAAGTGCAGAAAATGTAATATCCAAAATGTTTCACAAATTAATCTACTTATCAAAAACTCTTGTTTCTTCCATGTTTAAAGATCTTCTTATTTAGCCATCTAAACAGTCTCCTTACTTTAAGTAGATTTGCCTGCTTAAAAATCTATTTTCTATAACTAATTTTGCTGTTTGAGAATTTCATGTAAATTTGCTTTCTTGTGCCTCACTTTTTCCAAGCAACATAATGTTCTTGAGATTCTTCTGTGTTGCTGCATGCATCATGATTGATTACTTTTTACTGCTTAAAAATTCCATCGCATAATTATACAACAATTTGTTTATTCAATCTCTTGTCAATGAATATTTGAGTTGTTTCCAATTTTTGGCTTCTATAAATTATTTATTGCCTGTGGCTAAAAATGAGTAAATTTGATTTCAAAAGGGTATGAAGGAACATTTGCAGTGATTAGTTATACAAGTGTATATATTCAGGTATAGTTTAATGTTTAAAATGATATCTTAATAAATTTCACAAAATATTTATACTTCTTATGGTAACCAGAATGAGATGTAACTCACACAAATATTACCATTTCACTTCCTTTTTGTAAGCACTGTAATAGTTCCCTATATCATTAAAAAAAAAAAAATTAAACTTCAAGCCAGGCGCGATGGCTTACACCTGTAATCCCAGAACTTTGGGAGGCAGAGGCGAGTGGATCACCTGAGGTTGGGAGTTCAAGACCAACATGACCAGCATGGAGAAACCCCGTCTCCACTAAATATTCAAAATAAGCCACGTGTGGTGGCACATGCCTGTAATCCCAGCTAGTCAGGAGACTGAGGCAGGGGAATCGCTTGACCCTGAGAGGTGGCGGTTGCAGTGAGCCAAGATCGTGCTGTTGCACTCCAGCCTGGGCAAAAGAGTGAAATTTCGGGTCTCAAAATAAATTAATAAATTAATAAATTAATTAAACTTCTTGGAATTTATACAAAACCCTTCCCTTACTTGGTTAACAATCCATTACCCACCTTACTTACTTACTAACTACTAATATTTTTAACTTGATCCTCTTAAAATATCTTCATGTTTAAATAATTTAAAAATATATTTAACTTTTCTGCACATTCTACAATAATTTTTCTTTACATATTTCTTGAAATTATTTTCTACATTATTCTCTTTTGTGTAATTTTTACCACACACACACACACACACACACACACACACACACACCATTATCATCTCCATAAAGATTATCTTCCAGACCATCATCACCATCTCCACAGCCAACAAAACCGGCAACTCTAGCACTCTGCAAAACTGAGTAGTTTTAATTCATACTTCAGATTTAGACCAGGTGTGGTTATATACTGTTGTTTGTAATTGCTTCTCTACCATTCACAAACTGTGGAACCATAGACAATACAACACATTTTTCTTATCCTCATATACCTCATTACAAAATAAGGATATTAAAGAATAGTGATAATAATGGTAATATTAATATATTCATGTGAGGATTCACATTGAGGATTAAATAAGAAAAGGAGTATATGTAGTTCATTTAAGTATATGGCATAAGACAAACATTTACTTATTCAGCATTAAAAACAAAGCAACATGTTGGATGAATTATCTCCCTTTGTGAATATATTCCCATCACTTTCCTAAAACTTGTACCACTGGGTATTTTATTTTGTTTGTAGCTATTGGAAATAAAATTATTTTCTTGGCTTCTTTTTCAAATTACTTCCTGTTGGTAATTTGTATCCTGAAACTTTTACTGAACACCTGAGAATAACCTTAAGCAAAGAAGTGAAAGATCTCTACAATGAAACTAAAATACACTGATGAATGAAATTAAAGAGGACACAAAAGTGGAAATATATTCTGTGTTCATTAAATGAAAGAATTAGTATTGTTAAAATGTCCACATTACCCGAGGCAATCTACAGGTTCAATGCAGTCTCAATCAAAATACTAAAGACATTCTTCATAAAAATAGAAAATATAATCTGAAAATTTATATGGAACCACACAAAACCCAGAATAGCCAAAGTCTTCCTGAGCAAAAGGAACAAAACTGGAGGAATTATATTAACTAACTCCAAATTATACCACAGAGGTATCATAACCCGAACAGCATGGTATTGGCATAAAATCAGACACATAGACAAATGGAACATAATAGAAAACCTAGAAATAAATCCACACATTTACAATCAACTCATCTTCAACAAAGCTGCCAAGAACATATATTGGAGTAACGACAGTCTCTCCAATAAATGGTGCTGGGACAACTAGATAACCATTTGCAGGAGAGCAAAACTAGACCTCTTCCTCTTGCTCTATATATAAATCAAATAAAAGTGGATTAAACAGTTAAATAAGAGACTTCAAACTATAAAGGTAATATAAGAAATTATTGGGGATAATCTCCAGGACATTGGTCTGGGCAAATATTTCTTGAGTAAGACCTCAAAACAACAGGCAACTAAAGCAAAGATGGACAAATGGGATCACAGCCAGATATGAAGTTTCTGCGCAGCAAAGGAAACAATCAATGAAGTAAACAGACAACCCACATAGTGGGAGAAAATATTTGCATACTAATCATCTGACAAGGGATTGGTAATCAGAATATATAAAGAACACAAACAACTCTATATTACTATTTTCCAGAAACAATTAATCTGATTACAAATGGGCAGAAGATCTGAAGAGAGATTTCTCAAAAAAGACACACAAATGGCCAACAGGTATATTAAAAAATACTCAACATCTCTAATAATCAGTGAAATACAAATCAAAACTACAATGAGTTACCATCACACCACAGATAAACTGGCTTTATCCAGAAGACAGGCAATAATGAATGATGGTCAAAATGTGTAAAAAGGAGAAAGAGCATACATTGCAGTGAGAATGTAAATTAGTACAGCCACTAGGGACCACAATATGGAGGTTCCTCAAAACACTAAAAATAGAACTACTAAATGACCCAGCAATCTCACTGCTTGGTATATTTCCAAAAGAAAGGAAATCATTGTGTAACACATGAGACACCTGCACTTGTATGTTTATAACAGCACTATTCAAAATAATAATACTGCTATAAAGACACATGCACACGTATGTTTACTGCGACACTCTTCACAATGGCAAAGACTTGGAACCAACCCAAATGTCCATAAATGATAGACTGGATTAAGAAAATGTGGCACATATACACCGTGGAATACTATGCAGCCATAAAAAATGATGAGTTCATGTCCTTTGTAGGGACACGGATGAAGCTGGAAACCATCATTCTCAGCAAACTATCACAAGGACAGGAAAACAAACACTGCATGTTCTCACTCATAGGTGGAAATTGAACAATGAGAACACTTGAACACAGGGTGGGGATTATCACACACCGGGGCCTGTCCTGGGATGGGGGGAGGGGGAAGGGATAGCATTAGGAGATATACCTAATGTAAATGAGGAGTTAATGGGTGCAGCACACTAACATGGCACATGTATACATACGTAACAAACCTGCACATTGTGCCCATGTACCCTAGAACTTAAAGTATAATAAAAAAAAAAAAAATCAAGCTATGGAATCAACCCAAGCATCCAACAATGGATAAATGGGTTAAAAATGCAGTACCTATATGCAATGGAATATTATTCATAAAAAGAACTAAATCCTGTCATTTGCAACAATATGGATAAATCTGGAGGACACTGTGTTAAGTGAAATAAGTCATGCACCGAAAAAATAAATATTGCATGTTCTCACTTATAAGTAGCAGCTAAAAAAAATTGAACCTATGGAAATAGAGAGTAGTTTCCAGAGGCTGGGAAGAGTAGCAGAGGGGTGAGGGAATAAAGTGGGGATGGTTAATGAGTACAAAATAGAGTTAGATTGACTCAATAAGATATAGTATTCAGTAGCATAATAGGATGACTTTAGTTCACAATAATTTATTGTATATTTTAAAGTAACTCAAAGAATGGAACTGGAATGTTACTAACAAAAGGAATGATAAATACTTGAGCAGATGGATACTCCCAATATCCCCATTTGGTCATTATACATTGCATATCTGTATCAAAATATCAAATGTACCCTATAAACATATACAACTATTATGTACCCATAGTGATTTAAAATAAAACTTAAACTACTGCATTAAAATTATCTTAATTTTCTCACATCATTATATTTTTTATTATATTTAAGCATCCCAAATAGATATACTTTTTAATATACCAAGTAAAGATCAGTGTTTTGTAAATAGTAATATCTAAGAATATTTTTGAATTAAATTAAAGTGAAATAAAGAATATGTGTCTTAAATACAGCACTTTTCTTAAAGCTAAAATAATTAAATTTCTTGCTTTATAACACAGTCATATGGGTCAAAATAATTCCTGGGTATGCCTAAACCTTCTTTTTCACATCAAATTGCCATTTGTCAATTTGTCGCATTTTCATGTCATACCTATTTTGGTGGCATTTTCTTTTCAAATTAATGGCATTTTCTAAAAAAACATTTTTGCCATTTGCTTTTAAGAAAACCTAACCCCAAGTGAAGTGATTTTTATGAAGTCAAAAAATTCATGTTACTATGCATTTTCCTTAGGCTGATTTTAACTACCAAAATAATATTCTAATGTGCTTATAACATAGATAACCAGGCGGATCTTTTTCCTTTTTCAAGACTAGAAAAAATTAAATAATTGGAATTAATTGAAGCATATTGTATATCTCACCATAAAGAGTTATCGTAAGACTGATTAAAAAAAGCTGAGTAGAGCAAATTATCATGTCCCTCACAGCTTTACATATTTCAAGGAGAGAAATAGTATGATTAATTAATTGTTAATTAATTTTTTATATTATTTACTCAACTGCACATATATATGCATAATACCTTGCATAATTAATATAAATATTTATAAATAAACTGAAATGGGTAATTTAGAAACATAGATTTCTAAACTTGTCTATAATCTGCATGGAGGCAATTCAACTGATATAAAATTTTAATTTAACTTCTTAATAGATAACTTTATATAGAATAAAGATAAAGGAGTTTAAAAACTCCAAGCAAAAATGGTTACATGTATAATAATTGTTTCCAAATATTTATTAAATTGATAAATAAATATATATCTTATCTGGATAGTAATGCTAAACATGTAATATATGGTAATTGATCCATATCCTAATGAATAGCATATAAAAGCCTGTTTAGGATAGGACCTTAGATATTTCTCTGTAAATATTCTCATATTTTTGTTGGTTGTATAAATTTATTAAAATAATGCCTGTAACAAATACTCAATAATTGTTAGTGACTGCCACAATTACTATTATTAATACCACTAATACTAGTACTAGGTTCTGTTTCTCTCTGTGCCTGTTTTGTTCCCTATAAATGAAGGGAAAGATAGCGTGCTTATTTTACAGAATTATTGTGAGTTAATACATGTAAAGATGAAAGCGTTTGACATCAAGAAAATACACTGAAAATGTTGGGTTTTGCTATTATTGTGTGTGTGTGTTGGGGGGGGCAATTCTTATATTTTTCCACATCCCTTTTTATCCTCTTATAAAATACAAACAAGGCAAACTGCATTATTATTAGGAAGATGTTTACATTTTACATTACATACATCTGAATTGAGACTTTATTAAATCTAAGGTTTTATTTATCAAGAATCCATAAAATGTAAACAAACTATGCAAATGTGTATTAATATGTACTTTGCAGTATTTTTAAAAAGAATAGATCAACTCAATACCTATGCAAGTGAAGGATTAGTTGAATTAGAGTATATTAGTAATAAAATGCTAAATATCTTTGACCTTTAAAAATGCTGGTAGGTCTAACTGTACTGACAGAGACATAGCCAAACTGTATTACTAAGTTTAAAAAAAAATTGTTAAATATATGTAAATATACCATTTAAAATAAATAAATAATTCTAGAGGACTGTTAATTCTTGTACCTGAGAATTAAATTTTGGATTATTTCATTTCTCTCTCTCTCTATATATATATATAGAAACACACACATATGTACACATACACACATATATATCAGTGACTGTTCCCAAATACTCAAATTAAGGTTTACTATTGAGTAACAATATAATTATCAAAATTTTGGAACTGTGATTTAAACAAAGTTGAGTACAAAAGAGTTGAGAAATGGTTTGAGAAACCTGAATTTTTTGTTTAGTCATATTTATAGTCCTTCAGTTTTATAATATTGTTGCATAATATCTTATTTTGTGTGTAATAAACACCCTCATTGAAAAAAACTTACTCTAAAAAGTGAACTGTCTTGAATTATTTTTAAGGAAGACAGCAGCGCCCATCCATGTTAAATTCCAGTAGCAAGAAATCATCTTTGGTAAAAAGGCTTTCGTTAGTGAGGTACTGATGTGTTTTATTACTCTAATTTTAATAATTTAAACATAGAATCGTAATCGGTTCCATCTAAAGCATGAAACTACTTTTTCTAGTATCCCCTAATGTATTTGGTTTAAAGTTAAAATTTCTCAATGAGAGGAACTCTCCTGTGAGTATGAAGTCACAACTAAAGGAAAAGCCATTATATCTGGGAGCTTCTAGGGTCAGACACAGTAAGTTCATAAGGTTTAGTGGTTTCAGCTAATGAGACAATTTTCTAGTAGTAATAAGCTTTGCAGACATCCAAGTGAACGCTCTGTATTGTTCATTTTACCTCAATATAACTATGTTCCTAATAATTGCAATCATTTAAATATATTGATATTTTTTCCTAAGTTTGAAAAATGAAAGAGAATTACAATAGATTTAAGTTAATTAAAACTTTGAGCGAATCTAATTATTTCTTCTATCTTTCCTTTCAAAAAGTGAAGGAGTCTATGTGTAAACTGGTTTAGTTTCCGGGAAAACCAAACATGATTTAAATTTAAAAGCAAAAGAAAGGAATTCTTCCTACACTGTCCAGATTCCAGGGGCTCATTTCCCAATTCCTTTGGCAGAATGAATGAATTCCTTTTTGCAGTTTTCGCTTTCCAACACACCTCTGCTAGAGGCTCATCTTAGAGTCCATGTTTGGAGAAATAGAAAGTAAAACAAAACCAATACCCAAACAAATAAACTAATGAAACAACCGGGAAATTCACTTTTGGATGAGTTACTTCAAGTTTTCAGTTTCTCTCCTTCTCTTCTGGCTTCTGCTTACTTTCCAAGGTTCTTAGAGAGTTATTTAAATTTTGTTCAGAGACTTTAGTTATAATCTATCAGTAAGAGGCACGAGCTGTAGTGGGTTTACTCTGTTTTGGCTGGGATGAAGAGTCAATAAATATTTGATTATTCTGAATTTGGGAAATTAATTTGTTACAAACATAATTGAGAATTGTCAGAGGAGACAATAAGAAATGAAAATTATATCTAAAGGCAAGAAATAGATACCGGTAAATTTTAAAAGTAAACAGCAAGTAAAAATAATAATTAGCAACTTAATTCTTTAAATAAGGAATTTTGGGTATGTATGATTTAAAAGTATGCCAAATGCTTGGAGCATTGACAAAACATTTAGTAATTAAAAGGACTTGCTGGTTTTGAACAAAATAACCTTGAAAATTTTGTAGCAATAAATATAAATTTTAAATTCCTCCAGTAACAATTTGCAACAAATTATTCATAAATTATCCTGATGTTTTACTAACCCAAGTAAAACAAAAAAATTAATCAAATATCAAGAAAATATTTTGTCCGATTTTCATTTTAAACCGATACTGATAAATTGTTAACATTCAATCAACTTTGTTTAAAATATGAATTATTTACTATATTTTTAAATATATCATTTGAAAGCAAAATAAACCAAGGCAAGTAGAACTCATTTTACTCTAATATTTGTATTAATATTTATAGTATAACATAAAAAAATTTAAATTATTTTTTACTATGTATTATCTTTGGTTTATTCTTAATATGCTGGTAATCTTAATATGTTGATGTGTATATGTGTATGTGATTGTGTTGTTTGTGCGTTTGGATGTACATACTTACATAAGTACAATAGATAAAATGTTTACTTTTGCTTTACTACATATGTATACGATATAATCAATGAAAACCGTGTGCCAACATCAGTTTAAATGACAATACAATCAATGAGAAGACACAATATTTTTATAATTAATATAATTCTAATTTGTTGAAAATGTTGTCTCCCAGAAATACTATCTAAACTCATTTAAAATAAATAAAACTCTGTAGCCTTATATAAAAAGTTGTTAATGTTATTTAATTCATGCTAAAAGTTTGGTTTAATTTTTCTTCTTACTTAGGAAGGAAGGCCGTTAAAAATTTCTTCATTAAAATTTTTCTTCTGAAGTACAGTTTTAGTAAGTGAAAAAGATGCAAAATGACTTACTTTTTAATTTTTTAAGAAAATATGTTTATCTTCACTAGATATTTCTAGGGTGTGCATAAGATAATAGAAAAATCATTTTATAGCCAGTTAATCTCCCATTTTCTTAATAAAAGTCAAAATGAGAGAAAAATTGCAAAAAGAAAAATAAGAGAGCTGGAACTGACTCCAGACGTGTATAAAATTACCACTAGGAAAAGCTAATTATCCTCCCTTTGCAGGCAAAGGAGAGTACTTATTTGCAGAAAGACCAATTTTGACATACACAGAATAAAAAATCATGGTTTAAACAATAGTTTATGATTTTGAAAATTTTATCTGCTATATGATTAACAAAAAAAAAGGTACAAAAATGTACTCCAAATACAGAAATGAAAGAAGGGGGCATTGTCCATGTTAATCACTATAATGTCTCTTTAAAAGTGAAGACAGATAGAGGATGTGGAGAAATAGGAACACTTTTACGCTGTTGGTGGGACTGTAAACTGGTTCCACCATTGTGGAAGACAGTGTGACGATTCCTCAGGGATCTAGAACTAGAAACACCATTTGACCCAGACATCCCATTACTGGGTATATACCCAAAGGATTATAAATCATGCTGCTGTAAAGACACATGGACACATATGTTTATTGTGGCACTATTCACAATAGCAAAGACCTGGAACCAACCCAAATGTCCAACAATGATAGACTGGATTAAGATAATGTGGCACATATACACCATGGAATACTATGAAGCCATAAAAAATGATGAGTTCATGTCCTTTGTAGGGACATGGATGGAGCTGGAAACCATCATTCTCAGCAAACTATCGCAAGGACAAAAAACCAAACACCACATGTTCTCACTCATAGGTGAGAATTGAACAATGAGAACATTTGGACCTGGGAAGGGAGACATCACACATCGGGGCCTGTTGTGGGGTGGGGGGAGGGGGGAGGGATAGCATTAGGAGATATACCTAATATAAATGACGACTTAATGGGTGCAGCACACCAACATGGCACATGTATAAATATGTAACAAACCTGCACGTTGTGCACATGTACCCTAGAAATTAAAGTATAATAATAATTTTAAAAAATTTAAAAAAGTTTAAAAAGTGAAGACAGATAATCTTCCCATAAGGATTTTCTTCCCTTTTCTCTTTCAAGTCCTCTCTCAAGTGAAGAATAAAAAATTTCCCAAATAGCCATTGCAGTTTCAGATAGTACTTAGTAGAGTTATAACTGTTAGAAAGATATGCATATGAGAATTGCAATATAAAATAGGAAAACTGTGCTTTTGTAAACCTTGGATCTCCACAATCTGGCCAAAGATAAGTCATCACAAATTGAGTATCCAATGAACCCCCATGTCTGGCCAGAAAACAAACAAATAAATAAATAAATAAATAAATAAATAAATAAATAAATAAATAAAACTGTTCTCATGGATATAAACAATAAAACTAAAGCATCTGTATGATTTTGAAAAGTTGATCCAAGACAGAGTTTGTACAATGAATACTGGTCCAGAGAGACCTTCTGAACCCATCAATCCTTTGGGATTATCCAAGAATTAATCATCATTCTTATGTTGATCTTGCTATATATTAATACTTCGTTGTAAACACATGGACAATGAATGGAGTAGACAAAGACAGATGACAGTGTTTTTAAAGACATGGCAGTGTTTCCTGTAGGATAAGTGTTTTCAAATATGATCACTTAATCAAATGAGTCTTTAACAGGTTTTTATTTCCGAAGAGATAAAATGAATTCAGCATTTGGGAATTCCATATTGCAATTTACAACCTATATATGACTTTCACTACACATCATCTCACTTTCACTATCTGAGAGTACAAGCCTCTAGAGCCTTCTTAGCAAGTTCTTTTGAATTGATGGCAGTGAGGACATATTGATTAGATTTCAGTAGAATCTTCAGAGATCATCATGCATTGACTCTCCAAAACTCCTGAAAAAGACAAAAATGAAAATAAACTAATGCAGCAAAGTTCAGTTTATTAGAAATACTACACTGAAAGAGAATACCACCGTGAAAGAGTTTTAATCGTTTCTCAGGAGAGAAAATTTGGAGAAGAGTATTGATAAAGTTTTTATTAAAATAAATTTTTTAATAATCTATCCATGGCAACCATTGTACTTTTGCAATCTGCTTCTAGTTTAGACAGAGAAGGCACTTGGTATATATAATATGAACCCACATTTCTTCAATATTTCTTACAGGTGCTATTAGTAATTGGCTCAGAGAACTCGCCATTAGGGGCAGTGCATCACTTAACAATGGCTGGGCGTGAAAGAGGCAAGTAAATTTATTTTAAAATTTTAGCATTCTCCTTGTTCCAGTCTGAACATATCTGAATTGAGAGTATATTAATGAAGATTGAAATGCTGCATGTTTAATGACAGTTTCATCTTTATTCAAAATATGTATACAAAGGAAAAGATATGTCTTTTCATGGGTTTATAATATCTTGATTAATGGAAGATTCATTATATCAATAGAGAATTTTTAATAAGTTAAAATTTTGCATCTTATATAAAATCAAAAATAGTATGAGCACATATTGAAAATTATCTGACTTCTTAATTAGAGAACTAATCTAAAGATGAAGCTGGTCCAAAGGAGAAGTAGAGCAATGTTGACTTTTATTACCCTTCAAAGGAATGCTGAAATGAATTTGCTAATCGACACGAAACTAGTTAATGTACTATTTTTAATAAACTGTCACATTATAGCTATATTTTCTATAGGTAATCTATAGAAATAGATGAATACATAATCTATAAATAAATAGTTAAATAAACAAGCTATTTCCTCCATGTCTACAGTATACTATAATAGCAAATGCAAATTCAAAAGTACATTTTTTTCAGGAAACAAATTATCTTCATCTGCAACTGTTTATGCTCCAGTAGATGTCGAAGTTCAGGCAGCAATGCCGTTACTTGATGTCTAAGTTTAAATAATTGTTCTTTGCAGTCAGCATCAATTTTTTTTTTTTTTTTTTTTTTTTTTTTTTTTTTTTTTTGAGAGGGAGTCTCGGTCTGTCGCCCAGGCTGGAGTGCAGTGATGTCACCTCGGCTCACTGCAAGCTCCGCCTCCCGGGTTCACACCATTCTCCCGAGTAGCTGGGACTACAGGCGCCCGCCACGACGCCTGGCTAATTTTTTTTGTATTTTTAGTATAGATGTGGTTTCACCGTGTTAGCCAGGATGGTCTCGATCTCCTGACCTCATGATCCACACGCCTCGGCCTCCCAAAGTGCTGGGATAACAGGCGTGAGCCACCGCGCCTGGCCAGCATCAATATTTTTAAACATTTTAAAGTTTGTAATAATTTTAGGCTTACAAAAATTGCAAAATATTACAGAGTTTACTTATATTTCTCAACTTTCTTCATCTAATGTTAATATTTTACCCTAATTTCCAAACACAATTGTCCAATGAAGAAACCAGGGTCTTTGTAGATGTGGTTGATTCTAGGGCTGGGGCAGGCAGGAAGATGTGTCAGAGACACTTGGGGGTTTCAGAAAGTAAGAAAATGATTACAAGGAAGAAGAAGAAGAAAAAGAAAAACCATATTGAAAGACTCCGGGAGCCAAGCTGAAGGATTACCTAATGACCAAACCTGGAGCAATTTAAAAAACAAACATCAATATTTTTTATCGAATGAAGGATATTTTTAAACAAAATGAAAATGCTATGGTAAGAATTGGGGTAGGAGAAATGACCTCATTTGGATAGATGGGAAGGAAACAATGCCAAAAGGTACCTCGACAGAGTTTTCTTTTTGTAATATGGGGTATTTGCAGTAATTGGCTATAGTTGTTGGCCTTCTATAAGTATCTATGCTTATACACACCCTAGAAAGTCTTTGTACAAACACCTTTTCCAGTTTGAAGACCACTCGTGTAATAAGTAGGGTTTCTGTTTCATATTTACTGTGATAAATGCCAATAAGAAAAGAAACAATAAATTTCAAATGTAGCCAATAAAGACATTTTTATTGAATGTCTACTAAATCCCAGGTACTCTCAAGAAGTCCCTTCCTTTGAAAAAGTTTTATTATAGTAAAACAAGAGATTATTAATTTCATAGAGCAGACAATAAGTGAGTTAATTTTAGTGATTTTTAAAGACAGCAGTATATACATTATTTGATTCCATACAAGAAGATAAATGAAAATATGCTCAAGCGATTATTAAATTTCCATGGAAACTAGAAGCATGTATCTGTATAAAACTTGATACTTTCTAAATATTAAATTGTACCATTATCTGCAGATGTACCAATTTGTCTGACTTTGGCAAAATTATATAACTGTTTCTAAAACAAATAAGTTTATAATGAAAGTGGCACAAAGTGAAAAACGCAGTGTCTATTTTCTACCTCCTATTTTTTCATTTTAAAATAATGGAACAAGCAAAATTTAATGGTTAATTTAAGACTTTAAAATAGATTACATACTATGATATAATATAATAATGCTTTGCTACTGGATTCCAAATATTAAATTTTGATGTTCTTGGTATTTTAAAGATAAAATTAGAATTCACAATGCTACTATTTATAATTCTGATCATTTTTAAAATAATCACAAAATCAATGTTAGTGAAAATTAAAATTTTTACTAAGGATTAGTTTCTGAATTATAATTATAATTATTTTGATAAATATGAATTACAAAAAGATCTTATGTAAGTGGAAACAATATTTCTAGTCTTGCACTAATCAAGCCCCCGAAATTAGAGAGGTTTTTTTCTTACATGCTTTGTTGCTGCTTTTCTAATTCTTCAGATATATACTTTGTGTTATTCAGTGCTGTAAAAACAATACTTCTTACAAGAAATAATTCAACAGTTCAAAAATTACGATTATAGTACTTTTTATACTAATTATAGGCATAAAATATTTCAGCGAGACAGATTCAATATTAATCATATTTTGCCTCTTGTAATACAGGTCATATCACGTTATTCATAAGTATTCATTTGTATTATACACAACTTGGAAATAATCATGAGAAAATAACTGATTAAGGCATAAATGTCTAATATTATAAAATTACCTACTACTCATTTCTGTTTTATATAATTAACTTTACATTAAAATGTAACTCAAGCTTCATTATGTAATTACTAAAACACATATGTCATTAATTGCATTAACACTGTTTCCACTAAGATAATGAAAAAATTAACTTCTATTTTTATACTTGAATTTGGGATTGTGTATTCACATCAATCTGTTTCAAATTATTTAGGAATTATGCAACTATTCTTGTTTAATATGCAACTATTTTACCAGTCATCTTTTAATGCAACCTTATCATTATTTTTAAAATTACTAATGTACTAATGTTCTTTTCATTTGTGTAGTCATGTTTATATCAGTCCCAACCTTTGTTGATAGTAATTTGGCAGAAAAAGTCCAGGTTATCAGCCTTTCTGAACTGATGAAAGTGGTTTCCTTAGCAACTGAAGAACCGTAGAATCTCTCGGAACACCTGTTCTTCCCACTCATAATTCCTGCAGCTGAGAAGTATGCATTTGAAAACTGACTTTTTATTTTGATTTTTGCTTCTATATATTCAGCTTGGTTAGGACTGAGAAAGTTTGCTGAGTTTGACTTACTTGCACAGCTCAAAGGACCAAAGAGTCTGCATGCTTTAGACTTATTATTATGACTAGCAATTAGTATTTCATCTCCCCCATCCCTGAAGTATTCCTCATGTATTTTCCAAAGTCCTGAGCAGCCAGAGATAATGGTAAGGTTTGGAAATCCAGCTAGAGCAATGGACATTCTCTAAGTGCAAATGACAAAACGTGGCTCCATTGTCACCCTCAGGCTTTTTATTCAGCCCACATTCATAATTCAATGGGACTGGTAATATAAAAGGGCAATGTGCCTGACTGCTTGAGAAAATGACTGTCATATTTTAGCTTATAAATTTTTAAAATTATTCATTTCCTTGATTGTGTCAGGTCATTCTCTTTTTCTTAAAAAGTTAACTGAACTTATTCAGATGTATTGTCTATAGTACAGCTCCTAAGGGCAATTAAAAAAAATCAGTCAGTTATTTTCTCTTAGAACAAGTTGAGAAACTTAAAATATATTTCAATGTTTCCTTTTAACAATTGCATGAAAACTTTCTTCTAATTTAAGAATTTTCTTTTTAAAACTTCTCAACATATTAAGTAAAAAATGTATAAAAAAATGGCCTCTATAAACATACAATACTTTCCATGTAGCGACCCATGTCAAAAAGAAAAACTCATGCAGATAGAAGATTAAAGTTAATTTTCCAAATATTAATCAACCATCTCATCATATCTCCAAATTTTCTTCACAGACTAACGTATGCTATTATTTAATTTAATTCTCCACTTATTTGTTGGTCACAATCTGATTTTCTAAATGTAACATTAAGTAATGTCCTCAAAAACCTAACCTTTAACAATTAATTAAATGTTATGGATAGGTTGTTTATAAAATTTACATGTCCACTCAATATGAAATATGGCACTAATTAGAGGAAATTATTTTCCTATTAGTAGACAAAAAACAGTTGTGTAAAAGTGATTTCCAATTGTCCATTCATTTTTCCCCTTAAATATGCCTATTTAAAATGATTTTAAAAACATTTTTATAGAGGCATTAAACTATTTCAGTATTGAAATACAGATATTAAAAGCCTATGTTATCAGAGACCCACAAATGATATAATTTGAAGATGAATTATTATTATTTTCTCTTTTTCCCCCTCATATATTACCAATCAACATTTCTCTTTCTTTTTTTTTTTTTTTTTTGAGGCAGAGTCTTGCTCTGTCGCCCAGGCTGGAGTGCAGTGACACGATCTCGGCTCACGGCAACCTCCGCCTCCCAGGTTCAAGCAATTCTCTGCCTCAGCTCCCGAGTAGCTGGGATTACAGGCGCCTGCCACCATGCCCAGCTAAATTTTGTATTATTAATAGAGATGGGGTTTCACCATCATGGCCAGGCCGGTCTTGAACTCCTGACCTCGTGATCCACCCGCCTTGGCCTCCCAAAGTGCTGGGATTACATGCATGAGCCACCGCGTCCAGCTGACATTTCTCTTTCTTTTGGAAGTTATACATGTGTTAAAAATCCCAAGGAAATAAATATTTATATATCCCTGATATTCTTTAGAAACTCTATCCCTTGTCATTATTATTAAATTTTGAAATAGACACAGGAAATTTGAGGAAGAAATAACATGATAAAACTTTAGATTTCATTCTATAGTACTTTTTTCATGTCAACAAATAACCTTATACATGGATTTGCCCAGGGTCCTGTTCTCTTCTCAAACATCATCACCTCATTCCTCTTTTCTTCTCCTTCCTGATGACTGTCCTTCACTAATGGCAAGATACTGTGTTTTTTCAACACTGTATCCCCAGAGATTAGCAAAATGCCTAACTTTTAAAACCAGCTTAATTTTATTTTTTGAAAGATCAGTGGAATTACAAAATTATAGTTTTATCTTTTACATACCCATACTTTTAGCCAGTTTTTGGATATATTTTATTGTCTGTAATAATTTAAAACCATTCATCTGGAAAACCAAATATTTGAGAGTGAACATCACAGAAAGATTGTATCTCTTACAGTAATTCTACTTGCTGGAACTTAAAAATCTCTAATTTTTTTACGGCTTAATATAATAGATGTTTGTTTCATACTCAAACAGTAGTGCAGTGTGTCATTACACATCTATAGGATGCCTGTATGGTGACTCTAGCACAAAGATTCCTTTTACCTTATGGTTTCTTAAGCCTTCAAAGATCTCTGCTTTCTGCTTTCTTTCTCTGCTTCAAAGAGCTCTGCTTTCTTTCTCTCTCTGCTGATGGGATTGAGCACATGGATTAGACACACTCTCTGTACACTATTTTTCTTAAAAAATATTTTAAGGATAGTTTTTTTGTTTGGAGAAAAATTGAGAAGATAGTACATAGAATTCTTATATACCTTGCACACAACTTCCCCTATTAATGCCTTATATTAGTGTATTCATTACAACTATTTCACCAATATTGATACAGTGTTATTAACTAAAGTACATATCTGTAATGTTCTTTTTCTGTTCTATGATCCCACACAGGATACCAAATTACATTAATTGGTATGTTTTTTAGGCTATTCTTGGATGTGATTGTTTTTCAGAATTTCCTTGTTTTTGATGAATTTCGGTGGTCAGACAATTTGTAGAATATTCCCTCATTGCAATGTCTATTATTCTTTTCTTATTAGACAGAGATTATGGGCTTTCAGGAGGAAGGATGCAGAAGTAAAATGCCATTTCATCACAATATATCAAGAGTATCTATTATCAACACTTCTTATCACCATTTATATTGACTCTGATCACCTGGCTGAGGTAGTGTTTGTAGGTTTCTTCACTGTAAAGTTGCTCTTTTCTTTTCGTTCCTTTCTATTTTGTGCTCTTTGGGAGGAGGTAAGTTGGTGCAGCTCACATTGATGAAAAGCGGATTTATGTTCTTTTATGTTCTCTCTCCTTGAGGGCAGGATGTCTCCAATTCTAATCCATCACCACATGCATCTTTCTGGCCTCCTCCTCCTGCTTATCTGTAAACTCCCACTCCATCAGTGATAAACGTGGATGTCCTCCATTTATTTAACTGTTCAATTTCAGTACACATGTATAGCAGTACTAGAGCTGTTAACCTGGTATCTATTGAGAAATATCATTATCAGCTAGAATACAGTGCCTAAGTCTGTGTTTTTGCTGTCAGTTACACAGAATTTATTATTTTCTTAGGTCCACACCTTGCTCCTCCTCTTCACTCTATACATTGAGGCTGTTTTGTATACTCATAATACAGTTGGATCATTTTGTCACAATCTGTGTTCTATTCTTCCTAAATGATTGTTTTGCTATTCGTGTTATGAAGATTCACTTAATATACTGTAACATTCTATGGATTTTGACAAATATATAGTGTCATTTATCTGCATTTGCATTATCCTAGAGAATAGTTTCTCTATTTTAAAAATGACCTGCGCTTTACATATTCAGTCCCTCCTCCTCTTCCTTTCCCCAAAGCCCTGTCACTAATCTTTTCACTGTTTCTAAGATTCATTGGTGTCTTCTTGACTGAAGAGTTCAGACATTTTATCACTGAAAAATATTCCATTCTATGGATGAATCATAGTTTGTTTATCTCTTCATTTATTGAAGAACATCTTGATCATTTCTAGTTTTTGGCAATTATGAATAGACTGCTATACAATATTCACATGCAAGTTTTTGTCTAGACATAGGTTTTAAAGTAAGTTGGGTAAATACCAAGGAGTATATTTGATGGATCGTATAGTAAGACTATATTGACTTTGTAAGAAACTCCCAAACTGTTTTCTGAAGTGGACTTTCTATGTTGTAATATCACTCAAAAGAAATGAGAGCTGTTAATGTTTTGCATACTCACCTGAAATTGTCAATGTCAGGTTTGTTTTGGTTTTGTTTTTAACTTTAGCCATTCTGTTGTGTGTGTAGTGGTATTTCATTGTTGTTTTACATTTTCCCAATAAAATGTCACAGTGTATATGTTTTTGTAGGTTTGTTTGCCACCTAATATGTCTTCTTTGGTCTATAACTGTTCAGATCTTTTGACCATGTGTTTTTTGTTTGTTTGTTTTTCTTGAGAGGGAGTCTCTCTGTCGCCCAGGCTGGAGTGGAGTGGGGCAATCTCTGCTCACTACAAGATCCCCCACCTGGGTTCACGCCATTCTCCTGCCTCAGCCTCCCAAGTAGCTGGGACTACAGGCGCCCGACACCATGCCCGGCTAATTTTTTTGTATTTTTAGTAGAAACAGTTTCACTGTGTTAGCCAGGATGGTCTCGATCTCCTGACCTCGTGATCCGCCCACCTCGGCCTCCCAAAGTGCTGGGATTACAGACGTGAGCCACCGTGCCCGGCCCTATGTTTTTTTTTTAGTTGTTTACTTTTAAAGATTTGTTTTTAGTTTTGGATATAAGCCTTTTATTATATATATGTTTTAAAAATTTTTTTTCTCAGTCTGTAACTTTTTTTTTCATTTTCTTAACACTACTAACATTACCACATGTTCACATGTTGTATTCTTTTTTTCACTAAAATTCTTAACGTACTGATCATGGTTTTCTTAAATTTCTTGTCCGATAATTTCAAAAATTTGTTGATAGGAGTCTAGTTCTGATAATTTCTTTGCCTCTTTGGACTTTTTGCTGTTGTTGTTGTCTTTTAGCGTGTCTTGTAGATTTTTGTCGAAGGCCTAAAATAATATATTTGGTAATAATAACTTAGGTAAAGGCTTTTAATGTGAGGCTTTATGTTTTTCCAGCTAGGATTAAATCAGTGTTTAATGTTTGCTGTAGCTATAGCTAGCTGTCAGAGGCTTTGAATTCCTCTAGTGTCCTTGAGTTGGTCTCCCCTGTTGTCTTTGGGCTTCCCTAAGAACTCCTACTTAAATGGGGGTTGTGCCTTTACATCTTTCAGCTGATGCCCTGTTGATTGGTGATGTGGGGGATCAGAAAGCATTCTGTAATTTTGTGATTCAACTATGGTATTTTAGATGGCCTGTGTACCTGTGCTGTGACCTTCAACCTCCCTCTTCACATTGTAAGTGAGATATGAAGGCTGAAAAAAGTGGAGTTGGGTATTTTCTCTTTCACTAACACAAATAAACCTCTGGGAAAGTATTTTCCTTGCTGATTAGGCCTTTGTTTGGGGGAATTCTCTGGATAAATTAGAAATTGTCATTTTTCCCCTTATCCTGCCAGAAAAATAGAGTATTTCATGAGGATTTACCAAGGTCTTCTGGGGTTACTAGAAATAAACCCATGGAAATTTGGGGGGACCTAGAGTTTCTCACTATCACAATAGTCTACACTTTACCCCCAGCAATTCCTCAAAGTTACTATTCAAGTGTTCATACCAGTTTGTAGTTACAGCATCTTCTGCTCCCAGCAAGTGTATTCAGACTGTGATTATCTGTATTTACCTGTGTCTCCAAATTTTGTGGTTGCTGTGTGTCCTGCAACCTCAATTCTCTAGTATAGCCAAGAAAATAAATTAATTTTGGTTTGTTCATTTCTTCCCTTGTTGCAAAACCAGTAGCAACACTTTCCAAGCACTTTCCATGTCAGAGCTGAAACTGAATTTTGGAACACTGATTTTTAGTGTTCCTGTTCTCAAGAGGCATATCACTTAGATCTATTAATAGGGTTTGACCATGTCCCCATCCAAATCTCATCTTCAATTTTAGCTCCTACAATTCCCACGTGTCATGGGAAGGACTCGGTGGGAGGTAATTGAGTCACAGGGCCTGGTCATTCCCATGCTGTTCTTGTGATAGCGAGTAAGTATCACAAGATCTGATGGTTTTATAAAGGGGAGTTTCTCTGCACACGCTCTCTCTTGCCTGCTGCCATGTAAAATGTGACTTTGCTCCTCCTTGCCTAGTGACATGATTGTTAGGCCTCCCCAGCCATGTAGAACTGTGAGTCAATTAAATCTCTTCCCATTATAAATTACCCAGTCTTGGGTATGTCTTTATTAGCAGTGTGAAAACAGACTAATACATCTATATACCATTGGCAAGAATTAGTAATATGGTCTTAACCAGCTGCATGGAAGCATTGGGAATATAGTCTCTGGCAGAGCAGCTACATTCTAGAGACAACCCCATGAGAAGAAGCACAAGCCTTGGTGGACTCTTAGGTCTCTCATTCATGGACCCTATGATGGAAAAGGCAAAATCAACATTTAGAAACCATTTTCTGAATTCCAAACATTATACTAGATATTTTATATATGTGATCTCATTTACATTTTACACTCCCTAATTAACTAAAGGAGATTATTAGACCACGTAGGAAATTGAATCAGAGAATTTAGCCAAATGCCCAAGGGTACATAGCTCAATTTATATTTCAACCTAAATCCATGTAACTTTAAAGGCTATGTACTATTTAGAAAGTGACTGAGCTGGGTTAAAGATTTTACTGGTATTTTAAACTAAATATGATTATATTTATAAAATCGTTTGAGAATAATTTATTATTTGCACTAGAAAATCTCTAATCAAAATGTATTTCTTCTCATTTAGTCAAGTTGATTGTCACAGATTTGCCATTGCCTCTAGGTAAAACACACAATAGCCTCACTCCTGCTTTTCCTAAGGAAGTCCACAGTATCTTGTTTCTGGAAGGCCTTCCAACCTAAGCCAGCCCTACCCAGCAGTCCAGAGCCCCATTTTTTTTTGTATTACATTCATGTTTGCTGTGGTGAATAGCATATTCTAACTGCAAAGTCTCTTTGTTTTTAACGTAAAGTTATTCAGATGGTAACTGACTTCTTTATTGAATTCAATTTTAATATTTACTTGGTTGAGTCTCCTGAGTATACCAAGTTGTCAAGTCTATCACTAGAAAATAATAGTGCTATCTCATTTTCAATATTATTTACCTTTTATCTTATTGTACTTACTAAGACATTATAAAACAATACCAAAATCATCAAGCATGCTTGTCTTTCTACACATCAATTCTTGCTGGGACTATTGCAATGACTTCATAACAAGGTCTCTAGATCTGATTGTTATTCTAAACAATCAACCCTTCATATAGTCATATTTAAAGTATTTTATTTTCATAGTTCTGTCTTTTGCAGTAGCTGGTTAGATCAATAATGATAGAAACTATGAAAATTATGCCAATGACACCTTCATACAGATTTCCACAGCATCTAAAACAGTATAGCTACACAGTATAACAATTTATGTTAAATTATCTTTTATTTATTTTTAACTTTTACTAGCCCTTTGAAACATCTTGTATAACTAAAGAGAATAGAGCACATAACAAAAGCAGAGTCTTTTTATTAATTATATAGAGAGGAGAACAATATTTTGAGAATCTGGAGATATTATGAAATTGGGCTTCCCAAGGCTTGGTGATCTGGCATGGAGAGGATTGCAGGAGTAGATAGGCCAAATATGATCTCTTCCCTCTTTCTGATATCCTGCCAATAATTCTATGGTATAAACTCCCCGAAATGCCAGAGGACAAAGAACTCATTGGTGAAGTCCAGAAAAGTTAGCTTCACTGGACACTCAACAGAACGGAAATGAAGAAGAGGAGTAGGGCTGTGAAGAGTCAGAAGGAAACCCTCTAGCACAGGTGAATTTGATACTATGCCAGGCAAAACACATTCTGTCTCCCAACACAGGGCATACAGAGTCAGATCAACTACTATAATGTTGTGTGGTAGTATCAATTCAGTCATACTCATTATACTCATTCCTCAATCTTAATGTGTTAGTCATCATCAGTGACTTTCAAATAAGCTACTAGGGAAACAAATATTTAAGTAAAATAAAACACATTCTTATAGTCTTTGTTTCTGTATCACAACAATGTCTAAGTTGATAATAATAACTTCCTTCATTGCCATTGTGTCTTAAATTCTTCCAGCACCTTAAGAGAATTGAGTACATGAAGACAAAACCCAATCCTTTATGTGAAATCTGAGACAACAGTGATCTATGTTCACTGGATTTCTGTACTTTAACCAGTCTACACTAGTGACTCTCAAAAAGTGTTTCACTGAATAATCTGGATTCCAAACATGGTCTTTTTTACTGCAACTATATAAAAACAATAAAAGTTCCTCTTGGGAATCAGGCTCTATTGCTGTGCTAACCATCTTTCTGTCTGTTGTTAGAGGCCAGTAAATAGCCTTAATTTACAATTTAACAGAAAAACAAAGCAATATATGGGTATTAGTAGAAACATTCCTCCCTTGGTAACTAAGACCTTCACACTAACTGAACCAAAGTTTGTGAGAAAAGAGAGCAAACATTTATTCAATGGGGTATTTGGTGTCATAAGGAGAAGAACTACTGTCAAATTTATCCTGTCGTTCATACCTACACATTCTGACTAGGGATGTGAGGCCATATATTGGCTTTTATTTAAGGCATCAAGCAAAAGCTTCCCAGGTGTCTTCCAACTGGGACTATAATGGGAACCTCCACAAGACATTCTGCCCTTTTATCAAGCCAGCTTCCCTATGGCATTGGAGCACTGAAAATGTTAAACTCCTATGTTGGAGTACATTGTCACACTACTTTCTCTATAAAGTAAGAATGTTAGCTAGTATTCTACAATTCCAAAAATAATGAGGATGGCAGAAACATTGCAGAAGAAGGCAAATCTGCAACCAAAGTAATATGTCTATTTAAAAAAAAATTTGTGAGTACATGGTATTCTACATATTTATGGCGTACATGAGATATTTTGATACCGACATACAATGTATGATAATCACATCAGGATAATGGGGTACTAATTACTTCAAACATTTGTCCTTTCTTTGCATCACAAACAATCCAATTATACTCTTTTAGTTATTTTAAGATGTACAATATATTATTGTTGACTGTAGTCACCTTGCTGTGCTATCAAATAGTAGCTCTTATTCTTTCTTTCTGACAAAATTTTTATACCCATTAATTATTCCCACTCCCTCACACCCAAGGCTACTATTCCCAGCTTCTGGTAGCCATCATTCTACACTCTATCTTCATGAGTTCAATTATTTTCATTTTTAGCTCCCACAAATAAGTGAGAGTACTTGAAGTTTTTCTGTGTCTGGTTTATTTCACTTAGCATAAAGTCCTCAGGTTGAATCCATGTTGTTGCAACTGACAGGATCTCATTCTTTTTATGGCTGAATAGTGCTCCACTGAGTATATATACCACATTTTCTTTATCCGTTAATCTGTTGATGGATACTTAGGTTGTTTTCAAATCTTAGCTATTGTGGACAGTGCTACAATAAACATGAAAGTGCAGCAGGGCACAGTGGCTCACACATGTAATCCCAACATTTTGTGAAGCTGAGGCTGGTGAATCACTTGAGACCAGGAGGAGTTTGAGACTAGAATTTATTTCTGCATTCTCTACTCTTTGCCATTGGTCTGCATGCCTGTCTTTATGCCAGTATCATGTTATTTTGATTACTATAGCTTTGTAGTATAATTTGAAGTCAGGTAATGTGATTCCTCCAGTTTTGTTTTTTTCTCACAATGGCTTTGGCTGTTCTGGGTCTTTTGTAGTTTCATAATAATTTTACGATTAGTTTTGCTATTTCTGTGAAGAACATCATTGGTATTTTGTTAGGAATTGCATTGAATCAGTAGATTGCTTTGGATAGTATGGACATTTTAACAATATTGACTCACCTAATATATGAACAAAGAATATCTTTCCATTTTTCTGTGTTCCCTTAAATTTCCTTCATCAATGTTTTATAGTTTTTATTGTAGTGATCTTTCACTTGTTTGGTTAAGTTTATTTCTAGATATTTTATTTTATTTGTAGCTATTGTAAATGATATTACTTTCTTGATTTATTTTTCAGATTGTTCACTGTTGCCATATAGAAATGTTCAAGATTTTTGTATGTTGATTCTTATATCTTGGAATTTTACTGAATTTTTAAAATCAGTTCTAGTAGTTTTTTCATGAAATCTTTAGTTTTTTCCAAATATAGGACTATATTATCAGCAAACATGGATGATTTGACCTTTTCCTTTCCAATTTGGATGCCGTTTACTTCTCTTGTCTGATTGCTCTAGCAAGGACTCGTTGAATACTTGTCCAGTACTATTTTGAGTAACAGTGGTGAAAGTCAGCATTGTCATCAGGTTCCGGGTCATAGAGAAAAGGCTTTCAGTTTTTCTCCATTCAGTATGGATACTCCACTAGCTGTGGGTGTGTTATATATGCCTTTTATTGTGTTGAGGTATGTTCCTTCTATTATCCACTTTTTTGAGGGTTCTTATTATGAAGGGATGTTGAATTTTATCAAATGCCTTTTAAGGGTCAATTGAAAAGATCATATGGTTTTTGTCCTTCATTCTGTTGATATGATGTATCTCATTGGTTGATTTGCATATATTGAACCATCCTTGCATCCCTGGAATAAATTCCATTTGGTCATGATGAATGATTTCTCCAATATGTTGTTGAATTCGATTTGCTAGCATTTTGTTGAAGACTTATGCATAAATGTTCATCAGGGACATTGGCTTGTAGGTTATTTTTTTTTTTATGTAGCCTTGTCTGGTTTTGATTTCAGCTTGCCACTGGCCTCATAACATGAGCTTGGAAGTATTCCCCCATCTTCTATTTTTCAGAATAGTTTGAGTAAGATGGTATTCATTCTTCTTGAAATGTTTTGTAAAATTTAACAGTGAAGCCATTGAGCATTAGGCTTTTCTTTGCCATTGGGACTTTTCTTAAAGCTTCAATCTCATTACTTGTTATTGGTCTGTTCAGGTTTTGGATTTCTTCTTGGTTATATGTTGGTAGGTTTTATGTGTCTAGAAACATATCCATTTCTTCAAGGTTTTTCAGTGTACTGTAATATACTTGCTCATAGTAGCCTCTAATGATCCTTTGAATTTCTGCAGGATTGGTTCTAATGTCCTATTTTTCATCTCTGGTTTTATTTGTGTCTTCTCTCTTTTTTCCTAGTCTAACTAGAGGTTTAACAATTATATTTATCTTGCCAAAAAAAAAAAAAGAAACAAACCTTTTCTTTATCTTCAGTATTTTTTCATTTCAATTACATTTATTTCTGCTCTCATCTTTATTATTATTTTTTTCTTCTGCTAAATTTGAGATTTGTTTGCTCTTGCTTTTCTAGTTCTTTAAAATGCATCATTAGGTTATTTATTGGAAGTTTTTCTGCCTTTTTTGATAGAGGTGCTTATCCTTATAAACTTTCCTTAGTATTGCTTTGCCGTGTCTTGCAGGTTTTAGTATGTTGTGTTTCCATTTTCCTTTGTTTCAATAATTTTTTAAAATTTTCCTGTTAGTTTTTTCACTGACCCCTGGGTCATTCAGGAGCATATTGTTTAATTTCCATATGTTTGTATAGTTTCAAAATTTCTCTTATTATTAGTTTCTAGTTTTTTTATTATGATCCAGAAGGATACTTGATATAATTTCAATTTTTTGAATTTTTAAGACTTTTTGTGGCCTAATGTATGGTCTATTTTTGAGAATGGTCCATGTGCTGAGGAAAATAACATGTATTAAATGTTCTATAAATACCTGTTAGTTCCATTTGGTCTACAGTACAGACTAAATTTGATGTTTCTTTGTTGATTTTCAGTCTGGATGATCTAACCAATGTTGAAAGTATGGTTTTGAAGTCTCCAGCTATTATTTTATTGGAGTCTATCTCTCTCTTTACCTCCAATAACATTTGCTTCTATTCAGCCATTTTCCTCCAGCTCCCTCTGTGTTTATTTATTTATTTATTTATTTTGCTGGCAAATTGCTACTCTGTCCATCATGGAAAGGATCCTACATAGCTCATTTGCAATCTGAACCTTCTACAAAAACTGTCCTATGAGAGGCTAGGTGTTGGCCAGTATTTTCAGACAGTTGGACATTTGGGAATAGCAGGATCTTGGCCAATCCATGCATAACGTCCATTTCTGTCACTATGACAAATTTTCCTGTAGACTCTTTGATCAAGACTATTGTGGCAAGGTAAAGAGTTTGGGTTGCATCTATATGTCTTTGAAATAGTTTTGTTTTTGTTTTAACTTTTATTTTAAGTTCAGGGATCCATGTGCAGATTTGTTATGTAGGTAGACCCCATGATGGGGTTTTGTTGTACCAATTATTTCATCACCCAGCTATTGAGTTTTGTTTTTAACCTATTTTTGGAATTAGCAAATCTTTTCCTGTGAAGAGCCAGAAAATAAATATTTAAGGCTTTGCTGTCTATGTGATTTCTATTACAACTACTCATCTCTGTGGTTCCAAGTACAAAAGCAGCCACAGAGAATACACAAATGAATAAATGTGGCTGCATTTCAATAAAACTTAATTTATGCAAACAAGGTAGCAGATTTAATTTATAGGCATAGTTTGCCATCCCCTGACTACTTGATTATCAGTCATTTCTTAATTAATCTGTAAGCTAGGCTTCTGTTAATTGGCAATAAAGCCAGTGTCAGTGTGTAGCACATGAGTCTGATCCAGTTGTGTGCTGGATCTAGCTTGCACTGGCTTCCACCATCCAATTATGTATATCTCTTCCTATCTCCAAGTATTGACCAAGTTAGGAGTATTATATTATGGAAATCCACAAATGCTCCTAATCAGGGCTACTTACTCCCTGTAGTTTGTGGAACACTGCCAGAATGCCACTGGTCTGAGACTTTGCTCATGCAGTTTAATAGTCTTCAAGCCTAGATTAAATTTTTGCCAACTCTATTTTACAATGTAAGGCTTCTCTATGTGTCCAGTTGATTGAATAAGTGAGGTTACATGCAATTTATAATGTCTTGTTTGATTTTTGCCTCTCCAGGCTTAGAAGTTTTCTGATTACATATATAAAGCAGAATCTTACTAGGCTGCTCATCCGTTTGGTTCATAGAGACCACAACATCAAGCAGCTATCAGTCAGATCCCTGCTGATCAAAAAGCTATGAGAATAACTTTGGTTTGGTTCTGTTACTTGCTATAATAATTAAGTTTCTCTGTCTTTGCTGTTTAAGCATAGAAACCTGTCTTCAATTCTAATCTCGATATTTCTATTGAGATTAAGAACTCCACTTTCCTAGCTACCTGAGAGGCTGAAGGGGGAGGATCACTGGAACCCAGGAAGTCAAGATGTAGGAAGCTGCAACTGTGCTACTGTACTCCAGTCTAGGTGATGAAGTGAGACCCTGTCAAAAAAAAACAAAAAAAAACAAAAAAACTCAACATTATATTGCCTTCATTTACCTTCATCTGCCTCCACCACAACTTTGCTATTCCAGCAAAGTTGGTGACTACCTCTCCAATGAGTTACCTGACAAAGGGTAAGGAATGTAACCACCGGGTCCTTCAGGGGCCATGTTAGGAGGCAGCAAGAAACACAATAGATCAGTTTCAAAAATTTCCTCACTGTAAGCCTTTTAGTTTATTTCTGTATTAAAAAACAGTAATTCAAGCATCCAACCTCCTTTACTCCAGGCAACAGTGAATCTAGGCATGGAATTAGGGAACTAGCAGATCATAAATGGCACTCTTAGTTAATTGTTCTAATATAACTTTTAGAGGTTTCCCTTTCTGTACCACTCTGGTACCAGTTATCCTATGAGTTAGAGTTCTGGTGAAAAAGAGATAGCACATATAAAAAGTAATTGAGAATTGTTTAAGAAAGAAGCCATTTTAAAATGAGTAGGTAGCATGAAAACTGCAAGTAATAGGGGATCTCAGGGACAACAATAGTAAGAGCTTCTCTACCCTACACCTCAGAGAGTAGGAAAGAACATTTTTTAGGATAGGGCTTGCCCATGAAGTTGTCATCTTTGGTAAAGAGACACAGCAAACGTGGAGTGATCTGACAGGGAGTGTGTCAGAGGAATCAGCTTCCCAGCCTAGTTAAAGCCAATTAATAGACACAGTGTCAGGGAGACTGTTGAGGCTGCCCATTAAAGTCAGTGCTCTCGGCCACAGAACTGACTTGAGAATAGTCAAGAGTGAATCTAAAAAGGTTATAAGAAAACATATAGCATATATATAGTGTGAAAGCATAAGAGTTGTTCTAAGAAAACTATCAATTCAAAGATGAGGCAGGATAAAAATAGCATCAAAAAAGCCAAAGGAAAAATTTCAAAGGTGAATGATTTGGTCAATAATATCATTAACACTAACTACAGTAAGTATAACAACTTTAATTAAATATTACAAATTTAATGTTACCCAGAAACTGGAAACATTTCAGTATTTTTTAGAACATCTGTATGTAGCATTGATCATTTTTCTTAACATGGGGAATATGTGTGATATCTCTAAAGTTACACAGAAAGTAGGTTAAAGGCTATTTTGTGTCAAAGTCACCCCTCAAATACTTGACTCTAAATAACTAATTCAAATGCAGTGGAGTAGTTGAGAAGGGAAAGATAGAAAATATTGTTGGATTTGCCAAAGTTGCTGATTGGTTATTAGAGATTTCTGGTATTAAAACGATGGGTTCTCTAAGAGACGAAATAGCAGTTCTATATCATACTTTCCCAGGAATTTGATTTTGACTTGATTTCATTTAAATAGGTAGAATTGTAAATAAGGGCTGACATTGTTGAGTCAGTGTCAGTGGTTGTATGCTTATATATTTAAGCATACAAACACGCATACACATCTTTTAAACAGCATACTTATACATATTCAAAAATAAGCGGAATACAACATTTTACAAAAAAAGTTAAAAATGTAATTGAGTGAGGCGATTTATAGGCAACAAAATTTCAAATCATGTAGGAAAAGATTGGTTTCAGTTGCTTCCTGTAATTTTCTTGTTAAAAGAGAATTAGTATTATAATGAAATGATTTCGACTCCATTGAACATCTAGTTTTTAATATAAAATGTTAGTAAAACGTGTTAAATTTATACACACAGACACACACACATTTTAGACAAGAATATTAAAAAAGTTACACTTTTATCTTTTTCCTGTTTTATCTTTATATCTTAGAACTTTTAGAAAATCATTCTGTATTACGATTGATAATGCTATATTTGCAATCAGCTTTTTTCTATCTTTACTATTAACTTCTAAATTATTTGCATTTTTTCTGTTTGAAATAAAAAAAATTAAATCAGTGGCCTATGCTATCTTTCTTTAGACCAAGAATCCCGAGGTTCATACATTTACAGAAGAGAGCTTTATTTTGTATAAAGGGTTATAGCCTGGAGGCTGGCCATCCCAAAGGTTGGCCAATAAACATGTGAAAAAATGCTCAATATCACTAACTATCAGGGAAATGCAAATCAAAACCACAATGTGATAACACCTTATTCCTGCAAGAATGACCATCATCAAAAAATCAAAAATAGGCAGGGCGCGGTGGCTCACGCCTGTAATCCCAACACTTTGGGAGGCCGAGGTGGGCAGATCATGAGGTCAGGAGATTGAGACCATCCTGGTTAACATGGTGAAACCCCGTCTCTACTAAAAACACAAAAAATTAGCCAGGCGTGATGGCATATGCCTGTAGTCCCAGCTACTTGGGAGGCTGAGGCACGAGAATCACTTGAACCCAGGAGACAGAGGTTGCAGTAAGCCAAGATCGTGCCACTCTACTCCAGCCTGGGCAACAGAGCAAGACTCTGTCTCAAAATAAATAAATAAATAAATAAATAATAATAGATGTTGGTAGATGTTGGCATTGGTATGGTGAGAAGGGAACACTTTTACACTGTGAGTGGGAATGTAAACTAGTATACCCCTATGGAAAACCATGTAGAAATTCCTTAAAGAACTAAAAGTAGATCTACCCAGCAATCCCACTACTGGGTATCTACCTGGATACC
The DNA here is from genome assembly GCF_000001405.40 of Homo sapiens. Classification (NCBI taxonomy): domain Eukaryota; kingdom Metazoa; phylum Chordata; class Mammalia; order Primates; family Hominidae; genus Homo; species Homo sapiens. Next base: position 27,426,232 of record NC_000005.10, read on the forward strand.
CAGAGGAAAACACACTATTATATGAAAAAACACTTGCACACGCATGTTTATAGCAGCACAATTTGCAATTGCAAAAATATGGAACCAGCCCAAATGCCCATCAATCAATGAGTGGATAAAGAAAATACTATACACACACACATACACACACACACACACACACACACATAGATACATTATATATATACACATTAAATATAATGTATCTCTATATATTTTATCTATATAATGTACCTACATTATATCCGTCGACATAATGTACCTACATTATATCCGTCGACATAATGTACCTACATTATATCCGTCGACATAATGTACCTACATTATATCCGTCGACATAATGTACCTACATTATATCCGTCGACATAATGTACCTACATTATATCCGTCGACATAATGTACCTACATTATATCCGTCGACATAATGTACCTACATTATATCCGTCGACATAATGTACCTACATTATATCCGTCGACATAATGTACCTACATTATATCCGTCGACATAATGTACCTACATTATATCCGTCGACATAATGTACCTACATTATATCCGTCGACATAATGTACCTACATTATATCCGTCTATATAATGTATCTACATTATATCCGTCTATATAATGTATCTACATTATGTCTGTCTATGTAATGTATCTACATTATGTCTGTCTATGTAATGTAGATACATTATGTCTGTCTATGTAATGTAGATACATTATGTCTATCTATGTAATGTAGATACATTATATCTATATAATGTATCTATCTATATAATGTAGATACATTATATCGATATAATGTAGATACATTATATCGATATAATGTAGATACATTATATCGATATAATGTAGATACATTATATCGATATAATGTAGATACATTATATCGATATAATGTAGATACATTATATCGATATAATGTATCTATCTATATATAATGTATCTATATATATAATGTATCTATCTATATATGTATATACACCATGGAATTGTACTCAGACATAAAAAGGAACAAAATAATGACATTTGCAGCAACCTGGATGGAATTGGAGACCATTATTCTAAGTGAAGTAACTCAGGAATGGAAAACCAAACATTGTATGTTCTCACTCATAAGTTGGAGCTGAGCTATGAGGAGGCAAATGAATAAGAATGATACAATGGACTTCGGGGACTTTGTAACCAAACACCACCTGCACACCAAAAACCTATTGAAATAAATACAAAATTAAAAATTAAAAAAATAATTCCCCCAAGCATTGGCAAGCAAATATTTACATGTAAAAAAAAAATGATAGTTCTGAAACCACATGCAATTCTGATTCGATGTGAGACTTACCTTTCCACATCAAGGTAGTGAATTAAGAAAATAATGACTCTCTGCCAGTGATTGCTCATTATCTGTCAGGGAATGCTCTAAATAATATATAGTACAGAATTTTGCCACCCTATCACGCTTCTGAGAATGTTCAAGTAAGATGACACCCATTTTACAGATGAAGTACAGTATGAGATGGTTAAATAACCTGCCAAAATACTCAGCTCAAAATTGCTTGCGGCCTGGCCATCAATATTCAGAGCCTACCCATTGAGCACCACGCTTTACTAACTTCTACAGTTGCCACTATCATTTACAAATCCAAGATCCTTAAAATAAGCTGCATATTTAAATCCCATGTTACCATTTACACGTAATGGAATAATGGAGAATCAAGAAACCATAAGCTTTTCGTCTTGTCTGATACGAGGAGACTTCACATACTGTGTCTGTAGCATGCAATGCATGTGTTTCAAAGTCCTTGACAAGAGTTCCACAATTTAGAATATTATTTGAAATAAAATAAAGTGAAAAAGTCAGTTTGATATTTAAACTTCATGAAAACGAGATACGTGTTCTTTTTCTTAGCTGTTATTTCCCTACCCTCTCACCTTAACTCTGTTAAATCCACAAATGCTTTTCACATAACTTCAGGGGAAACACAGCTGTAGAAAATCAAGAAAAAGAATATTTAATCTAGACATTACTAGATTTTTATTTATTGAAAAAAACTGAATTTTGCCTTTCATTTTAGACCTAGATATCATGACTTATTCCTATTATAAGAGAAAATTAAGTTTCTGCAGATGATTCCCTACATTTAAAAATGTTAAAAAAAAGTGATATTCTTTCTATTTAATCAAAATATACTGTGATTTGTGAAAGACTCAAACACTACACAGGAGAGAATATCACATTACTAAAATATTTGTAGATGATATTTTCAAATATGTTCTTTAATCTAAATCAATACAACATTTGACTTCACAGTGTTTTTAATTATAATTTTATAGCATTTTATGATTCAAAAAATGATAAGACAAGTTTTACTTCAATATTAATTTTTCATTGTGTTCTGTTGAGCAAAGTAATCCATTAGGAATATATGGAAGTTTTCACAAAATGAATAAGAAAATACTGTATCTCACATTAGTTTAAGTTGTTGAAGATAAGAAAATATTGTTATTGAAGAAAACTACCAAATGCATTCCCTAAATACGAAAAAAGTGTATAAAAGATATACTAGATGCATTACAAATGTGACTCAGAATCTCCCAACAATAAAAACCCATCTTGCATCAAATGGCAATACCAACATGTATCTTCTTAGGTGTAAAATGATTTCTCTTGCCAAGTATAGTTTTCATCTGTCTAGCAGTTAGTTTGATGAAGAGTTTATAAAGTAAAAATATGCCAAAATCGAGACTGTTATGTATTAATTACATTCAAATTTTCCATTTTTTCCTTAAGCATGAGAAACATTTTGTTCAGATTTAAAAATGAAAAACAAGTTAAGGACATCTATAATGACTTCTGGTGTCTCTTGAATATTCATATTTGGGTCATTATCTTTCCAAGGTCAGAAGAAACGTTGATTGAATTGCATGCTTCCTAATGGGCATATTACTTTAGGCATCAACGACTGACAAACAATTCTAAATTGAATTTATGCCTAACAGATAAATAGCACATGAAACGATCATTTCTTGTTGTTACTTTTGCTCCGAATTCTGCTATTGTAGTTTAGTTTATAAGATAGTTAACTCCTCATGGACAACACCACCATTATTTTATATTAAATGCTTCTTTCCTATCCTGTGAGATACAATTGTGTTAACTAAGTAAAAATTATTTATGCATAAAAATGTCAAAAACAGTTATTTTTGACAGTTATCCATCAAATTATAGAGGCTAATACGCTGCCTAATTCTACTTTACAAGAACTTCATCTTGGCTGTATTGGTGTGTTAACAAAATCATATTTTCCCTTCTAATTTTTGTAGCAATGACATATTAAATACGGATTTTAATATAATATTTTTAGCAGGCATATTTCATATTGTTTAAAATCATTTATGCAAGATGTAAAGCAAAAACCAAATAAACCTCCAAGCCATAATTAGTACTACAGTCTAGCTTATTTTAATTATATTGAAAAAGTATTTGAAACTAATATAAAACAGTTTTAACTAACCTGTTAATGTTATTATTCTCAATTTATCAACTAAGTATGGCAATTATCATTTCCACTTTACTTTCTTTTCCTCACCAGCCTATTCATGTAAAATGTTTTGAATGCACATTGCCAAATGTATATGGATGCATGTTATACGTATGTAAAGGTATGTTTCCACATGGGTGAAATTAATTCACATCCTTGATAGTTGGATCTAACAGAACTGACACAAATATTAATTAATGGTCATTTAAACCAATTTATAGCGTTAACCTCTGGCATTATAAGTTATAAATATTATCTTAGACTTTTCAAAGATTGATTTGATTTTTTATATTTAAGCAGTCTTATTTAGGTTAACCAGTCTAATTCAGTTGATATTTACATAATACTAGACTTTTTTTTGTTTTTTTGGAGACAGGGTCTCCCTCTGTTGCCCAGGCTGGAGTGTAATGGCGCGATCTTAGCTCCTTGCAACCTCCGCCTTCTGGGTTCAAGGAATTCCCCTGCCTCAGCCTCCCGAGTAGCTGGGACTACAGGCATGGGCCACCACACCCGGCCAATTTTTTCTATTTTAGTAGAGACGAAGTTTCACCATGTTGCCCAGGGTGGTCTCAAACTCCTGAGCTCAGGCAATCTGCCAGCCTCGGCCTCCCAAAGTGCTAGGATTACAGGTGTGCACCACCGCGCCCGGCCATAATACTAGACTTATAATCAAATAATAAAGACATTATAATAAATAATAATTTTACATAAGATTAGTATAGTAAAAGGAGGAATGTGGCAATTAAATACATTCCAAATAGCTATTACTGAAAAGTCAAAAAATATTTTAACAAATGCTGGCGAGGTTGCACAGTAAAAGAAACACTTACATACTGTTAGTGGGAGTGTAAATTAGTTCAAACATTGTGGAATAAAGTATGGCAATTCCTCAAAGACCCAAAGACAGAAATACTATTCTACCCAGCAGTCCCATTACTAGGTATATACCCAAAGGAACGAAATCATTCTACTATAAAGACACATGCATGGGTATGTTTCTTGGAGCACTATTCACACTAGCCAAGACATGGAGTCAACCTAAATGCATATCAATAATAATAGGCTGGATAAATAAAATGTGTATGGAATATTATGCAGCCATAAAAAGAACAAGATCATGTCCTTTGTATGGACATGCATGGAGCTGGAGGCCATTATTCTTCCCAAACTAATGCAAGAACGGAAAACCAAATACCACATGTTCTCACTTATAAGTGAGAGCTAAATAATGAGAACATATGGACACATAGAAGGAACTGGGCCTACTGGAGGGTAGAGAGTGGCAAGAGGGAGAGGATCAGGAAAAATAACAAATGAGTACTCTGCTTAATACGTGGGTGATGAAATAATATGTACAACAAAGCCCATGACACAAGTTTACCTGTGTAACAAATCTGCGCATGTACTGCTGAAGTTAAAAGTTAAAAAAATACATTCTGAAATAATAAAACATTTCAAAATTGTATTGTTTATATTATATTCCCACTATTGTCAATTAGTACATGTGCTGATACAAAAATAAATCTATTTCTTTTAAGAATATAATTCAGGCCGGGCGTGGTGGCTCATGCCTGTAATCCCAGCACTTTGGGAGGCCGAGGCGGATAGATCACGAGGTCCGGAGATTGAGACCATCCTGGCTAACACGGTAAAACACGTCTCTACTAAAAATACAAAAAAAAAAAAAAAAAAAAAAAAAAAGCCAGGCGAGGTGGCGGGCGCCTGTAGCCCCAGCTACTCGGGAGGCTGAGTCAGGAGAATGGCGTGAACCCGGGAGGCAGAGCTTGCAGTGAGCCGAGATTGCGCCACTGCACTCCAGCCTGGGTGACAGAGCAAGACCCCATCTCAAAAAAAAAAAAAAAAAAAAAGTAATTCACGGTAGGGGCCAGTAATGTAATCATTTACTTGATGCCTATTCTCTCTAAGACAGTAAAATGAAAGCTTAATTTTCCATTATTTTACAATCTTTACAATAATTTTTCAAGTCGGAAGTTATCATTGCTTTTTACATGAACAGACAATTAACCTGGCGAAGGTCACAGAGCTACTTGGTTGCCTAGTCCATACTCTGAGTCTAAATTTTAAGGTATTTCTATTACACCCTAACATCTCTCCATTGAACTTTGAAACATAAATAGAAATTTTATGTCTTTATGCAATATTTATTTATTTATTAGAATAAAAATCATAGTCTATTATATATATATATATATATATATATATATATATATATATATATATATTGTCTGCCCAAACTGAATTGTGAACTCCATGAAAGCAAGGATGTTGTCCATTTTACCTTTTATCTGCTCTAATTTTTTTGAAAGGTGACATGGGAACAATAAAAAAGGGTATTCATTTAAGAATCAAATCGTCATGGTTCAAGTTCTAACGCCTCATTTAATGGGGGAAACTTGACTAATCATCTGTTTCCTTATCTATAAGATGCAGAAAATAATAATAACCTCAGAATATTGTTATGTGTAGTCAACTACAATAGTATATGAAAGCCTGGTGCAGCCAAGGTATTCAACATCCTCTTCGTTAATATCCATCCCCAAGGTTATGTAAGGGAAAGCTCAGAGTGCACTTTCTTGGTCCAATTCTCAAACTCTGGGTCACTTCAGCCACCACATGGGCAATCCATCTAATGCAGTATTCCATGTCGTTTTACTGAAATTCACGCATTTCCATTTGACCATTTTATGATGACTCAAAACATTTATTCCAATAACCATTGAATTCAATAGATATAACTATGGATGTAATTGGATACATATGAATATAAATATTATGTCACAGAAACCTCACACCTTTGTGCCTTCTCTCATTTGGCGCATTTCATCTATCTCATCCAATTTCTGTTTCTGGGAGATGATCAGCCAGTTTGCCAGTCTCACTTACGATAATTACGTTTCCCTCTATCCAATTTTTTCCCAGTGGCATTCCAGCCAGTCTCTTTATTGCAACAAACTTACCCACCTGCTTTTCCACGTTTTTGGTGCAATTCCAATTATATAGCTACCTCTTTTTATCTAAGAGGCAAAAAATTATTAAAGCAAATCACTCACTCGGATTGATTCTGTTATAAATTCATGATATCTAGCACCAATAAAAGTCTGAAAGCCAACTAGCACATCTTTTACCCATCTTTGTTAAGTGTCACATGCTCCACACTGGTTATCAGACATCTCCTTTTACTGTAAACCTCTCCTACCTAATATTCTGCTTTCAGCAGCCAACTCTCCATTCTACCTTAAAACAAAAATAGAAGCCATATACAAGTGTAACAAACACTCACACACGTACACATTATGGTACTACTAACCTACCTGCTTACCAACATACATGTCTATGTTCATGTTCTTTTCAAATGTACTATTTTCACAATAAAATAGGTGGCTCTTCAGTCAATTCCAAGTAACTATTAATTATATTTTGTTTCTACTTGCTTATATGAAAAGCTTCTCCTTTAATGATCCCCTCAATTTCCCTCTCTTTGTTTTATGTTCAGCTTCTGTCATCTCTATGGGCTCTTTCTAATCATGTTTTACACATGCACAGTTCACTTCTCTTTTGTAAAACCAATTAATGGAAATCAAAATAGCTCTCCTTTGATCTCATGTTTTCCTCCATCCACTGCCTATTCTCTCTTCATACCACTCCAATTTTTTAAAATGCCTGCATATCTGCTTTCTTTATTTACTTCCCATTTACTTATTCTTAACTTATTCTCTTACTTATTCTCAACTTGCTGCCATGTAAATGTGGTATTTTCATCATTACAGGTCATTAAAAGTGTGTGAATACACACACACACACACACACACACACAGAATGACCATTGGCAGTTCTTATTTTAATGCACTTTTTTGGTATATGTAACACCCCATCTTTCAATGTGACATCATGCTCCCCTGGCTTTCCTATAACCTCCTAATTACTCCCAAGCAACATCAACATAATTTCAACCAGCTGGTTAAGGGAAGACTGTATAAAATTGTCCCTTGATAGCCTAAATACTGTTAAATTCTAACCTCCTTTAGTGACTCTCTCTTTATCAATGCTCAGGTCTTAGAAAATGCTTTTTATGTGCTCACTTGAGGGCTTTTACAAAGATACTCCTTAACCAGGAAAACACCTGTCATCACAAACACACTCCTCTGGCAGCTGTGTTACTCATAATAGTCTCCTTTAATTTGTTAGCTTGCCTTAATTGTTCCTCCTTATACTCCTACAGAAGTCTCTACTATCTAAGGTATGTGTGTATAACATCAAATGTGTGCCTACCTTGTCATTTGTCTACTCTCTGCCCCAGATTTTTAGCTATGTGACAGCAGATCATTTACTCATTCATTCTTGCATTCAGCAGTCATTTAATGTCGCTAAGGTGAGTTTTGTATTTGTTTTCAAGATAGAACAATGAGAGAACTGTACTTAGTACTTGCTCTCCTAATTTATTAGATGAGATACATCCTGAGACAAATGAACACACAATTTTGATCTAATATTAGTTATTTTAAGGCTATAAAAGTACAGTGTATATGTGTCAATAAAATAGTCTTCATTGTTGTAGAATATTATTTCAGGGATCCTCACAACCCAGAATTTCCAAGTTGATTTTAAAAACTCACTGTTTCAGCAAAAACAGCAAAATACATTTCACAATCATCGCATTTTAAATCTCTGCGTCTTAGCTTGTATATTTCCATTGTTAAAGGCTACTGAATGAGATATTTCCTGTTTTGCAAGTTTACTTATTCACTTCCAATTTGAAAACAAAAGCCGGTTAATATTGTATATTGCAGGATTAAAGAACTACTACATGTTAGGGCCAGTCACGTCTCACAGGATTTGCTAAGAGACATATAGAATGAAAAGACAGAAAAATAAATTTTTATTAGACAAAATACCATACTGTGTATACTCAGGCTAATAGTAGTTGGTAAGAAGAAATCAGAAAACCTTGGTAGATATAACTGCCAAGTTTTTATTTTGACAATCACTCCGAATTCTCACCCATAACCATGATTACCTATTTCTGAAAGTGATCTGCAGAAGAAGAAATATAAGCACGTAAAATACAGCAAATTAAATTACATACGAAAAAAATCCTCTTCAACCAAGCTTTTGTATGTCTGTATTCCCTCCAGCCCTGACATTTAACACAGACTGTGGCATGAATAGTAGTTAAATACTCTGCTTCTCAGGAGAGAACTCGTAATGCTATTCTTGCTCCGTGTCAACTGGCCTGAAGGAATCACTGTGAAGTTAATATTCATGCTCCTTCTATGTTGACATATATTCTGAAGGGCTGAGAGGAGCCTGGGGTCATAACTTAGGTAGTGAACTTCTTGAACTTTCTGTGCCACATCTCTTTGTATAGTTTTATGGTTCATCACCTGGCCTAACTGGAACCTTCTATCCTAATCAAACGTTTTACTCAATACCTCCTATAGTGCGCATATTTTTTTCTAAGTCTTTTTCTTGTAATGAAAATGAAGCTTCTTTTTTCCTTTTTCCAAGTATCAGATATCTTACTAAAACCATATGAGACATCTCCACTCCTGTATAGTTTTCTAACCAATCCAATCCATATTAGCTATGATTTCTAAATTCTAGTGAAGTGTGTTTTCTTCAACATCCTCTCCTTTACCTAGAATGAATTTTAAGTGGACTATCAAGTCATGAATAAAATAATCTAGAAAAATATCACCTTTCCAGATGTACCTTAGAATTTGTAGTGTTTATGTCTAATATTGATATTATTTTATTATTGTCAATTATCATAATATCAAAGATGTAAATATGTACTAAGCAGTTTTAAGTGTTGATGACTTACTTTAAAGTCTTGGAATGTGCTAGGTTAGGACAATAAGTTCAATGTGAGTGTTTCTTAAAAGTGAATATGTAATAAAAAGATTTATGTGACCAATTTAAATAACCAAAACCTCCCAAGGATGAAGCATCAGAGGATTAATAAAATTAATATCTAAGAATTTCCCCCATCTTTGCTCAAGACACAACATCAGCTGTGACCAGTGTGAAATTAATTCTCATTTCTGACATCAAAAAGTAGTACATTTGACTATAAAGCTCTTTGGTAAAATGTCTTATTTGTTCTTGCAATCGGAGTTTTAGATCATTACAGGGATTTTTTGAAAATATCTAGCCATGTTTCTCAATACCAACTCCAGAAAATCAAACACAATATAACAAACACAAAAACAGCAAAGCAAGTAAACAATTCACAATAAAATAATTGGGCTCTAAAGCCAATCATTTATTATTAGTTCATTAGAAGATTAATTCTATCAGAGCCATGAGCTCTTTCTTTAAGAGAACTCCTAACTCTACTGCTAGCTGACTAGGTTTATGCTGACCTTAATGATACTGGCCAGGTCCAGGTTCATTCTGCTCATATGCAGTAAATCAATCACTGTGACATAGATTCTGCAAAAGAGAAAAGATTTACACACTAGGTCACCAAGAGATGAGGTGGACGAACAGTTCACAGGACATATGTACAGAAAATGGCAACATTAGCATGATCTTGAGGGTGGAGTTTTTGACCCTCTGATATCAAAAGGCCACCTCTCAGGCACCCATGCAGACCCAGTTGAAGGGTCAGTGGTCTCAACTAGTTTGAACTAGACAGGAGCTGGCCAAGTTTCTGAAAAACAATGGAAGCAACCATCACCATGGTCACCTATGAATGTTACTTATTAAGTCACCAGTAAAGGTTAAGTTTTAGTGTTTAGTGGTAAGGCCTTCAGTTACTGCAACCCTCAGCTACAGAGAAAAACAACAACAACAACAAAAGCAGGTGACTGAAAGCAAGCAGAGCATGCAGACCTGACTTTATTAACCCCATGGTTTGACTAGGACAAAAGATTATCAAACAGGAGATATTTCTATTTGTATTTCTCCACTCCAATAATTCATCACTGCTTTAAGAGACAATATTTAAATTTAATGAACTCCATCTGTTTAGAAAGCCTTAAAACTATAACTTCTGATTAAGAAGTAAAGCATATTATTATATGGAAAATGTTATTGACAATGTTTGTGATTTTTGTATATAGAATGACTCTATTTTCATATTTAACATTTCATTAGCCATGACTGATTCTCGGTTTATTTTGATAACAGAAGCCATGTAACAACTATGTAGAAAAACGTTCTTTCACAAGCAGGGAAAATGGTGACTCTCTTGAGTTAACATTATTAAAGCTTCATTAAAACTTAATTAAAAACCAGCAATTCTCTTAAAAAAAGATTCAGACAGAGCCTAAGGTTATTCTTAAGCAGGCAAATATATATATATTTAGATATATATTTATATATATACTTATATATAAAATTTAAAACTGAGGAGAAATAAGTTGAAAAGGCAAAGTTGAGATATAAACTAGAGATTGGAAGTATATTGAAATCTGTAATTTTATTGGATGGGCTGAAATTTAGCTTTATGCTGTGCTGCTTGGGGGGAAGAAAGCAAACTTTCTTGTCTAAACAATTATAATAAGAAGTGGACAAATACAAAAACATTACAAAAATAAAAATACTCATAAATAATACATTGAGTGATAATATTTAAATTATCATTGACAACAATCTTCTGAAGTATGCAGTAGTTACTTTCATTGCTAATAGCATCACACCAAATACCTTTCGGAGGAAAAACATGTCTTGGAGGCATGTAATGTTTCTGTACAAGAGCTGGTGTACAGTTCAGTCAGCCTCCGTAAGTGTGTCTCTGCTGATCTGACATTGATCAGCAGCACACTTAGTGTGTCTGCAAATGGGGAATAATTATAAGTCACTTAATCATTCCTTCCTGAAAAGATTTTTCCCCCACCACTGAACTTGCAGCAACAGTCACAGCTATTTATTTTCAATCTAGTTCAAAATAATCTTATTCCACTGTTTATTATATGATCTCCAGAATATATTTCATATACATATATATATATGAAATATGTCCTGGGTTTACTTACTAGAATTTGATTAATCAGCATTTACTTTAAAAATTGATCCCCAGAGCTTTTGTGATGGTTGCACATATACTATAACTGGAAGACACTTATATGTAGAGAAGATTATAGAACTGAAGTTGGTGAGAGTAAGATGATATAGTTCTGTGAAAGATGAGTTGTTTAACAGTTGCATATGCCTGTGAGTTAATCCTTCCGCTACTCAAAAGAGCTCTCAGAATGTTGACTTTAATCTGCTTGAGCAAGCAAGCATTTAGCCATAAAAGCCACAAAGATTTCACTCCATATTTCAGAGCCTTGGTAATTTTATACTTAGTAAAAGGAAAAAAAAAGGTTAAGCTAATTTTCGATGTACATGCTCTTTATTCAACATAAACTTTCAATATTACAGGTTGTCTAAATAATGTGCATACATATTCTTCAACATACATCATTAATGAAATCTAGAGTAAGCAAATACATTGATATAAGTTATCCGAGCTGTTCATTTTAAGCAGACAAAGGTGAGGAAACTCCTACCAAAAAAAAATAAATAAACCAAATACTAAAAGTGTGATTTTTTGTTATGATTATACATGACGCTAATTTTCAATAAACCATTTAATTTTAGATTTACAGAAAAGTTGTGAAGATGGTGCAGAAATGTCCCATATACCTTTCACCCAGCTTCTCCTGTTGTTAGTGCCTTACATGATGATGGTGTGTCCGGAATGGGTGGGTTCTTGGTCTCACTGACTTCAAGAATGAAGCCGCGGACCCTCGCGGTGAGTGTTACAGCTCTTAAAGTGGCGCGTCTGGAGTCTGTCCCTTCTGATGTTCAGATGTGTTTGGAGTTTCTTCCTTCTGGTGGGTTCGTGGTCTCACTGGCTCAGGGGTGAAGCTGCAGACCTTCACGGTGAGTGTTACAGCTCTTAAGGCAGCACGTCTGGAGTTGTTGGTTCCTCCCAGTGGGCTCGTGGGCTCGTTGGGCTCAGGAGTGAAGCTGCAGATCTTCACGGTGGGTGTTACAGCTCATAAAAGTAGCGTGGACCCAAAGAGTGAGCAGTAGCAAGATTTATTGCAAAGAGCGAAATAACAAAGCTTCCACACTGTGGAAGGGGACCCGAGGGGGTTGTCAAAGCTGGCTCCGGCAGCCTGCTTTTATTCTTTTATCTGGCCCCACCCACATCCTGCTGATTGGTAGAGCCCAGTGGCCTGTTTTGTTAGGGCACTGATTGGTGCGTTTACAATCCCTGAGCTAGATACAAAGGTTCTCCACGTCCCCATCAGATTAGTTAGATACAGAGTTTCCACACACAGGTTCTCCAAGGCCCCACCAGAGCAGTTAGATACAGAGTGTCGATTGGTGCACTCACAAACCTTGAGCTAAACACAGGTGCTGATTGGTGTGTTTACAAACCTTGAGCTAGATACAGAGTGCCGACTGGTGTATTTACAATCCTTGAGCTAGACATAAAGGTTCTCCACGTCCTCACCAGAGCAGCTAGATACAGAGTGTCGATTGGTGCACTCACAAACCTTGAGCTAAACACAGGGTGCTGATTGGTGTATTTACAATCCCTGAGGTAGATATAAAGACTCTCCACGTCCCCACCAGACTCAGGAGCCCAGCTGGCTTCACCTAGTGGATCCTGCACCGGGGCTGCAGGTGGAGCTGCCTGCCAGTCCCGTGCTGTGCACTCGCATTCCTCAGCCTTTGGGTGGTCAATGGGACTGGGCGCCATGGAGCAGGGGGTGGTGCTCGTCGGGGAGGCTCGGGCTACACAGGAGCCCACGGAGGGGGTGAGAGGCTCAGGCATGGCGGGCTGCAGGTCCTGAGCCCTGCCCAGTGGGAAGGCAGCCAAGGCCCGGCGAGAAACTGAGGGCAGCGCCGGTGGGCCGGCACTACTGGGGGACCCAGTACACCCTCTGCAGCCACTGGCCCGGCTGCTAAGTCCCCCATTGCCCGGGGCCAGCAGGGCTGGCTGGCTGTTCCGAGTGCGGGGCCCACCAAGCCCACGCCCACCCGGAACTCCAGCTGGCCCGCAAGTGCCGCACACAGCCCCTGTTCCCGCTCATGCCTCTCCCTCCACACCTCCCTGCAAGCTGAGGGAGTGGGCTCCGGCCTTGGCCAGCCCAGAAAGGGGTTCCCACAGTGCAGTGGGGGACTGAAGGGCTCCTCAAATGCCACCAAAGTGGGAGCCCAGGCAGGGGAGGTGCCGAGAGCAAGCGAGGGCTCTGAGGACTGCTAGCACGCTGTCACCTTTCAATGGTACACAACAAAGAAATCAACATTAATATGTTACTATTAGTGGAAACCTATATGTTGTTTGGGTTTTACTGTTTTCCCCACAAACTGGATGTATTATTCAATAAAAGAATGGTTACAAACTTTAGTGGAGTAATGAAAACCTTGTTAAAGCATAGGATAAATTACTATTTCTAAACACTTTATGAAGAAGATCATGTTGAGAATCAGATTGCACATTCATTGTTTTCTTTTAATACCTATGGACATTTATTCAATGTAGATTTTATTATTTGGCTGTGAGGAGAGACTATGTTAGGTCCCAGTGAAAAAGGGGCCAGAGGATTACAAAAATCAGGGCAGTTGAACTTGCTACCTGGATTTGGGAAATACAAATCTCCGAGTAATTAACTGAACCTCTACAATGTAATTCTCCAGGTTCAATTATCAAGTAATTTTATCCTAGGATCAGTGATCATTTCCAGAATAACTGTTCTAACCTCAGGACTTTATAGGAAATATGTTTTTCAACGTATGCTAAAAAATTATATGTTTGAAATGTCATGAGGCTTTAGGTCAAGTTAGATGTTTTACTAAATTTTTGATAAACCTGATACTACAAAAGTAGGCTCTGTAATTATTTATGTAAGATTTGTTGTAATTTTTATGGAAGTATTGCTGTTGTGTTATCTACAACTAACTGCATGCAAATACAGAACTAACCTCAGCTAAAATGGCTCAAAATGGAAGGTGGAATTTTAAATAGTCCTGTGCCAACGACAGATAATCTAATATGTAGATTTTAAAAACCCTTCTTCTTACCTGTTTGGTGCACTTATAAGCAAAGACAGACTCAACACCCACAGTCAAAACAAAGGAAGCGATTGCTCTTTATTCTGAATTTAGAATTATCATTCTAAAGTGGGTCGGAAGCCCTGAATGGTTATTGATAAAATAAACATGGCTAAGAAGCAAATGGTTAGGTTAGACAATATATTAATATTAATAAATTTTAATATAATATAAAATTTTTTCATTAAGTATGCAAGTTTATTGAAATGTAATAAAGAAGAGTCTTTATTTTTGTCTTTATACTGACTCTTCAAAATTTTTTCAAGAGGAAATAATACTTTACTGCTTCCTAATGAAAAATGTGTACATTATCATGAAATTTCTTATTACTCTCAGGTAGTCATGTCTTGTGGTGGCATTAAGGTGCAACCCCACAGTATCAATTTGGTAATTGGATGTGTCCAATCCCATAAATAAGACATCAATTTGCATTTAAAAATTGCTCCCCTCATTTCCCAAATAGGACATGGTTCAAAGGGATGTATCTGCTTTTAGGGAATGGAGTGTGGTAGGTTTCCTTCAAGCTCTGCAAGTTCTCCTCACACTAGAAATTGTTTTACTAAGAAACAAAGCAACTGAGAAGGGAGATAATATTCCAAGATGTGCACACTTTGACCAACCACCAAAAGAGAGTTGAATTACTCCCTAGAGCAGCCCTGTGATGGCTTTGTACTGTACTGCATCAATTTAGCTTAATCTCAAATTAAATTTCCAAGAATATCCTATTCCATGTGGTTTTGGGATAGAGTTGGTCACAGGAGAATTTTTCTTGAAATTTGGATAACAAAGTAGAAACAGCATCCATGATTATGCTCTGAATGTTTTAGTAAGCCAGACATTGTTGTAGCTTGCACATATTGTCCCTGATCTGCCAGCTTACTTTGCTGATGGGCCAGCAGCTGGAATTGAAGTTCCTTTATAGTCCGTGACATCTCCTTCTTTAACAACTTTAAACCTTTGGCAAGATTTTTAGCTCTGTAGTGAAGGGATCCAGTTTATCGAGTAGGTCACCTGTACCAAAGAAATTAGAAGTCAGGAGACAAATAAAGGTTCAATTTGTCCTCACCGGTTGCAGTTTGTTTTTATACCTCTCCTTTCCAGGTTCAACATAAGATTGAAACATAACAATCTACATAAATTACTGAACTGCCTCTCACAAATGTGTAGTCTGTCACCTGTAATAAACCCTTTATATTCTACAATCACAGGCGATTTTAGACTGTCTCTTGATTAGATGTCAGCTATGTCTCCAACACTAATGCAAAGTGTATCTTTCTATATTTCAGGAAATATATATATATATATGTATGTGTATATATATATATATATATATTCCAAATTTCAGGAGGGCTGTAATGATTCTTCCTGATGATTTTCTTTGAAACCCCACTGACAAAATCTGAAAGGTTGGTGGTATATTTTTCTTTATTTTTGAGATGGAGTCTTGCTCTGTAGCCCAGGTTGGAGTGCCGTGGCACAATCTTGGCTCACCGTAACCTTTGCTTCCCAGGTTCCAGCAATTATCCTGCCTCAGCCTCCCGAGTAGCTGGGATTACAGGTGCACACCACCACACCCAGTTAATTTTTGTATTTTTAGTAGAGGTGGTGTTTTGCCATGTTGGCCAGGCTGATCTTAAATCCCTGACCTCAGGTGATCCACCCACTCGGCCTCCCAAAGTGCTGGGATTACAGGCGTGAGCCACCACTTCTGGCCAGTGGTATCTTGTTAGGGATGCTCAAACATTCTTGTAAATTTGAAGCCACTGAATTCTACTTTGAAATTTCTGATAAGTCACTTGGAGAATGTTTTTTCTGATAACTCACTTGGAGAATTTTTTCTCATCTTGATGCCATTTTCAAACCTAATATTTCAGCATCTCTTAATGTAATAGAAAATTGGTCAACATTTTGGATAAATTAACTCCATTAATCAATTCTGATCCTTCCATTAAGTAAAAACTGACATTTCAGTTTACACAGAACATAAGTGTTATTCTTGTTTGCTTCTCAGCCCATGTGACTAAATACCTATATTCTGTTGTAATTTGCTACACTGCTTTCATGAAATTGGTAAAGCATAGTGGAAGTATGTTTTCCTGAATCCTGAAGTAAGCCTACAGTAAAAATACAGAAAGCTGTGTTTTCTTTCTTGTCTAAGATTATTCAGGAACTAATATTGGAGTCAGGGTGGAAATGTCTCCCTCACTGATGTTCAGTTTCACTTTTGTGTTACCATGGACTAGCTCCTTCATAGGATCACAAAGGGGTTCAATCAGGCTCTGATCAGAATTCAAAAACAGGGCCTAACCTTAAATTGTGGAGGAAAATTTGATCCAGCCTTGTAGCCTGTTATAACTAAATAGTTCTGACATCCAAACTGTTAAAACACATGTCTATTTACTTTGCATTAATTGCTCAAACAAAGCATGACTTATTCTTCCCACCTTTACCTCAAACTATAGGGTAAAATAGTTACCAAGTATGTCAAAATTTCTTTTTCCAAAACAGAACACCTAGAACACAGTAGATATCCTACATCAGGCTGACTCTCTATGTTAGCATTGACTTGGGCCCCGGTCACTTACCTCAGAAACTACATGAATAAACAGAATCAAGGCTAATTATTTTTATACATTTTTGCTTCTCAGACAAATACTACACACCACCCAGACAGCTTATCTCTAAAATGGCTGTTTTCTTAAAATGAGAGATGAAGAAAGATTAATAGTTTATCAACCCAGGCAGGAAATTGAGGAGACAGGTTATTAAACTTATATTAAAAGAAAACTATAAGCTAGTAACTTTGATTAAATTTGATGCAAAAATTCTAGCAGCTATTAAATCACTATTGCTATTATTAAATAAATTACTATTTTTTTTGGATGAATTCTCACTCTGTTGCCCAGGCTGGAGTGCAGTGGCACAATCTCGGCTCACCACAACCTCTGCCTACCAGGTTCAAGCGATTCTCCTGCCTCAGCCTCCCTAGTAGCTGGGAATAAGGTGCACGCCACCATGACCTGCTAATTTTTGTATTTTTAGTAGAGGCAGGGTTTCACTGTGTTGGCCAGGCTGGTCTCAAACTCCTGACCTTGTGATCCACCCGCCTTGGCCTCTAAAAATGGTGGGATGACAGGCATGAGCCACCGCGCCTGGCAATTACTATTATTATTAATAAAATATGAACAAATCAAATTCAAAATTCAACAACATTTAAAAGAATTATGCAACCTAATCCAGTGGGATTTATTTCTGGAATACAGGGTTGGTTTAAAATATGCAAATAAGTAAATGAGATACATGACATTAACAGAAAGAGAAAAATACATTATGATCTCAGATTCAAAAAACTTTGACAAATTTCAACAACATTTTCTGATTAAAAATTCTCAAAAAAATGGGCATAGAAGGAAATTTCCTAAACATAATAAAGGCCGATTATGGGTTTCACTATGTTGGCCAGGCTGGTCTTGAACTCCTGACCTCATGATCCGGGTGTCTCGGCCTCCCAAAGTGATGGGATTACAGGTATGAGCCACCTAGCCTGGCAATTACTATTGTTATTAATAAAATACAAGCAAACCAAATTCAATAGCATTTAAAAGAATTATACAACCTAATCAAGTGGGATTTATTCCTGGAATACAGGGTTGGTTTTAAAATATGCAAAGAAACACATGGATACATGACACTAGCAAAAAGAGAAAAATACATTATCTTCTCAGATTCAGAGAAACATCGACAAATTTCAAGATTTTCTGATTAAAAACTCAACAAAATGGGCATAGAAGGAAATTTCCTAAAAAAAAAAAAAAAAAAAAGGCCGATTATAGAAAGCTCACAGATAACAACTTAATCAATGGGGAAAAGCTATAGCTTTTCCTCTCAGATCCAGTAAAAAGCAAAAATGCCTACCCTTCATCACTTCTACCTAACATAGTACTGGAAGTACCAGCAAAAGCAATCAGACAATTAAAAAAATCAATGCCATCCAAATCAGAAAAGAAGCAAAATTATCCTTGTTGCAGATAATGTGAACTTATATGTAGAAACTACTAAGTCCCCATAAAAAATAGAGCTATTAGGTGGATCACCTGAGGTCGGGAGTTCAAGACCAGTCTGGCCAACATGGTGAAACCCCGTTTCTACTAAAAATTCAAAAAGTTAGCTGGGCGTGGTGGCAGGCATCTGTGATCCTATCTACTCAGGAGGCTGAAGCAGGAGAATCCCTTGAACCCGGGAGGCAGAGGTTGCAGTGAGCAGAGATCACGCCACTGTACTCCAGCCTGGGTAACAAGAACGAAACTCCGTCTCAAAAAAAAAAAAAAAAAAAAAATTAAGCTGATAAATGAACTCAGCAGAGTAGCATGATCCAAAGTCAACATACGAAAATTAGTTGCATTTCTTTAAACCAATATTATCTATCTAAAAGGTAACTCAAGAAAACATTCCCATTTACAATAGCATAAAAAATAAACAGTACTTAGAATATTTTTAACTTTTTAAACTTATACATAAACATATTCATATTTATGAGGTACATGTGATATTTGATACATGCACACAATATATAATGATAAAATCATGGTGTTTGGGATATCCATCACCTGAAGAGTTTATTATTCCTTTTGCTTGGGAACATTTCAAATCCTCTCTTATGAAATATAGTAAATTATTATTAACTATAGTCACTCTATTGTGGTATCAAACACTAGAACTTATTTCTTCTATTTAATTGTATTTTTGTGCCCATTAATCAATCTCTCTTCCTCTTTCTGCTTCCCAGCCTCTGGTAACTATCATTCTATCTTGTTCTTTATAAGATCAACTTTGTTAACTCCTGCATATAAGTGAGAACATGCAATATGTGTCTTTCTGTGACTGTCTTATTTCACTTAATATAATGACCTCCAGATTTATCCAGTTGCTACAAATGACAGGACTTTTTTTTCTTTCTTTACAACTGAGTAGTATTTCATTGTGTATATATGCCACATTTTCTTTATTTATTTACTGATGGACATTTAGTTTTATTCTATAGCTTGGATATTGTGAAAAGTAGTGCAATAAACATGGAGATACAAGTATACCTCTGATATATCGATTTTCTTTCCTTTGGTTAAATATCCAGTAGCAAAATTGCTGGATTGAATGATGATTCTGCTTTCAGTTTTTGAGAAACTTTCATGGTGTTTTCTATTATGGCTGTACTAATTTACACTCTCCTTAACAATGCATGAAGTTTCTTTCTATCCTCATCCCCACCAGCATTCATTATTTTCTGTGTTTTTGATAGCCATTCTAACTGTAGTAAGATGATATCTCATTGTGGTTTGATGGTCATTCCCATCATGATTGGTTATGTTGAGTATTTTTATATACCTTTTAGACATTTGTATTTTTTTTTTTTGAGAAATGTTTATTCAGATTTCTTGCCCACTTTTTAACGGAATCATCTGATTTTTTGCAATTGAGTAGTTTGAGTTCCTTATATGTTCTGGATTTTAGTCCTTTGACAGATAAATAGTTTGCAAGTATGTTCTCCAGTCCTACAGGTTGTATCTTCATTCTGTTTGTTTCCTTTGCTGTGAAGAAGTTTTTAGTCTAATAATGTTCCACTTATCTATTTTTGCTTTTGTTGCTTGTTCTTTTGAAGTCATAGCCATAAAACTGTTGCCTAGACTAATGTCCTGAAGTATTCTCTCTCTGTTTTCTTCCAGTAGGTAGGTTTATAGTCTCTGGTCTTTAGATTAAATCTTTTTTTTTTTTTTTTTTTTTTTTTTTTTTGAGACAGAGTCTCGCTCTGTCGCCCAGGCTGGAGGGCAGTGGTGTGATCTCGGCTCACTGCAAGCTCCGCCTCCTGGGTTCACGCCGTTCTCCTGCCTCCGCCTCCCGAGTAGCTGGGACTGTAGGCGCCTGCCACCACGCCTGGCTAATTTTTTGTATTTTTAGTAGAGACGGGGTTCCTCCATGTAGGTCAGGCTGGTCTCGAACTCCTGACCTCGGGAGATCCACCCACCTTAGCCTCCCAAAGTGCTGGGATTACAGGCATGAGCCACTGCACCCGGCCTTTCATTTTTCTTTACCTTTTTCCACTTCGTCTTACTAGGTTGTATTAAAAGACCTATCATCAATTTTAAAACTCTTTCCTCCCCTTAATTTAGTCTATTATTGAAGCTCTTGATTTAATGTTTTACTTCATTCATTAAATTTTTCTGTTCTAGGGATTTCTATTTAGTTCTTTTTTATATCTATCTCTTTGTTGAATTTATCGTTCAGATCATGAATTGTTTTCCTGATTTCTTTGTGTTGTTTATCTGTGTTCTTTTATATTTTACTAAGTTTCTTCACTATCATTATTTTGTATTCTTTTTCAAGCATAGCATAAATTTCTTTATTGTCAAAATCTGTTACTGGATAATAATTTTGTTCCTTGGAGGTGTCGTGTTTCCTTGCTTTCCTTGTTTCTGTGTCCTAATGATTATTTCTGCATATCTGGTATAATAGTTTTTTGTTACAGTTGTGTGGATTGGCTTTCATAGGGAAATACTTTTTCCTATAGACATATCTATAGTGTTGCTTAAGGAGGGCACTTTGGCTTTTGTTCTGGGCGGGTACAGTAGTGTAATCTCTATATGATTTCTTTAGCTGTACTCAGCATCAGTCATTCCTGTAAGTTCCTCATTAGCTTAAGCTGCAGCTGTTAGTGGAAGCTGTGCGAACGCTTTGCTGGAGATGAGAACGTCAAGTGGGCCAGACCTCAGGTACTTGTGTTGGTGGTAGCAGGCCAGAAGCGTCAGTCCTTGAGCCCCCAGAGTGCATGTGTGTGCATCAGCAGTGGCAGAAAAGGCTGGCAAATCCCCAGGCCCCTCAATGACACACATGGGCATTGCCAGTGGAGGCTGTGTATAAGGCAGAATGGTTTTCAGTCTTCTCAATTGTGTTTATAGGCACTGGCTGTGGTGAGTGGGGTCCATTGATCTCCAGGCCCAAGAACGGCATGTTCAGACACTGACGATGGTGGCAACAAGTGTGGTGGACCAGTTGTCAAGCCTTCCATGGTGCAAACGGGCACTAGTGGCATTGCCCAAGAAGGGTCGCTCCTCAGGTTGCTGGATGACACATGAAGGAGCTGGCATTGGCGGTGGTGGTGAAGCTGGTCTTTCCTCAGGCCCTTCAATGGTGTGAACTTGCTGTGGCAGGCAAAGTGGATTGATCCCCAGGGCCCCAGATGTTGCACCTAGGCACTAGTGACAGTGGTGGTGGGTGGGATCACCAGCAGGCCAGAGTCTAGGATGGTACCCCAGCAGGCCAGAGTCAAGGCCCCCTGAAATCCTGTTCAAATGTATAGTGTCCCTGTTTCTGGAGGGTGTGGGATTACCATCAATTTCAGCAGCTCCAGATGGGTGGCTCTCAGGCTTTGGGGAGTGCATGCTTTACACATGTTTTTTTTCCTGCACTGCACTACCAGTTCCCCAGGGTATAGAACATTATGTGGACTAGAGCATTAGGGACCCAGCCATACTACTGGGTCCAGATGGCATCACGATGCTGTAGCCCTCTGGGTGATTATGGAGGTATATCAGTGGGGCTCCAGGGATGTGGAGATGCAGGCACTGTTGGGCCCCACGGCAGGATGTAGTCTTGTGAGAACTGGACTCTCAAATGGCAGCTGCTTGGGTCTTGGGGGTGTATGGGACTCCATCTCTGGAACAGTACCATTGCATCATCTCCAGTGAGCTCCCTATACTAGTATCAGAACTGGCAAAAATCATGGGACTCTCTTGTAGAATTACAGAAGTCTGTGGTCATAATATGGACGTCCAGGGATCTCTTGCTTGCCTTTTCCCCACAACGAGGAGTTTCTCATCTCCAAACCCATTACAGCTAGGCTAGCTGCTTTGCATCCCTCTCCATCCATATCTCAGAGTTTCTTTGTCACTTCTCTGCTGAATTTCAGTGTTGTCTCTTACATGTTATATTGATATGTGATTATATATTTGCTGTTTTGGTCTTTCTTTATGCAGGAGAAAAGTGGCAGATATTTCTATTTAGCCATTTTGAAGCCCCATCTTAGGACTATGTTTAACCGAAGAGGTGAAATACCTGCATACTGAAAGTAATACAAATTAGTGAAATTGACATTGTAAATAAATGGGAAGTTTCTAGTATTCACAGATAGGAAAAATTAATGTTATCAAAATTTCCATAACACTCAAAGGAATTTACAAACTCAGTGTGATATGGCTTGGTTCTGTATCCCCACCCAAATCTCACCATGAATTGTAATCCCCATAATTCCCACATGTCAAGGGTGGGACCAGATGGAGGAAATTGAATCATAAGAGTGGTTTCCCCATGTTGTTTTCATGATAATGAGTGACTCTCAAGGGATCTGATGGTTTTATAAGCATCTGGCATATCACCTGCTTGCACTCATTCCCTCTCCTGCCACCCTGTGAAGAGGTCCTTTCTGCCATGATTGTAAGTTTCCTGAGGCTTCCTCAGCCATATGGCACTGTGAGTTAATTAAACTTCTCTTCTTTATAACTTACCCAGTCTCAGGTATTTATTCATAGCAGTGTGAGAACAGACTAATACACAGTGCAATCTCTATCTAAATTCCAAGAGCATTTTTTAATAGAAATAAAAAAAAAATCTTAAAATTTGTATGGAACCACAAAATACCCTGAATACAAAAAGCAATCTTAAGAAAGAAAAACAATGTTGGAGGTAACATACTTCATGATATCAAACTGTATTACAAAGGTAGAGTTTTAAAAACAATATAGTACTGACATAAAAACAGACATGTAGACTGATGGAACAGAATGGAGAGCCACAGTCTCATATAATCCACTCATTTTCAACACGACTATTGAGAGGACACGATGGGGAAAGAACAGTCTCTTCAATGAATGGTGCTGGGAAAACTGGATCCACGTGCAAAAGAACAAAATGAGGTTCTAACACCACACACAAGAACAGAGAATGGATTAAGAAACTATACATAAAACCTGGAAACATTAATCTTCCAGAAGAAAATACAGAGGGAAATCTCCTTGATAAATATTAGTCCTGAAATTGATTTTCTGAATATCACACCAAAAGCTCAGGCAATAAATGCAAAAATAAACAAGTGGGAGTACATCAAACTTAAACACCTCTGCACAACAAAGGAAACAATGAACAAAGTGAAAGTCAGCCTACAGACTGAAATGAAATATGGGCAAACAATATATCTGATGTTTTAATAAATAAGAAACTAACACATATAAATAGCAAAAAAAAAAAACAACAACAGGTAATAAATGAGCAAATTACCTAAATAGACTTTTTTTTCAAAGAACACATAATGGTGGCCAATATACGTGTCTTTTTTTTGACATCACTAATTATCAGAGAAATGCAAATCAAAACCACAATGTGATACTTATACTTGTTAGGATAGCTATTATCAAAAGAATAAGAGATGACAAGTGTTGGTGAGGGTGTGAAGAAAAGGGAGCCCCTGTACATACAAACTTTTGGGGGGAATGTAAATTGATATAACCAGTAAAGAAAACAGAATGGAAGTTACTGAAGAAATTAAAAATACAAATACCATATAACCCAGCAATTCCATTTCTAAGTATATATCCAAAGGAAATGAAATCACTGTCAATGAGATACATGCACTCCCATATTTATTGTAACATTATTCACAATAGCCAAGCTATGAATACAACCTAAGTGTCCATCAATGAATGGACAAATAAATTGAGGCACGCACGTGCACACACACACACACACACACACACACACACACATAGCCTTAAAAAAGAAGGAGGAGATACTGACATTTGTGGAAACACGGATGAAGGTGGAGGACATAAACCAGACACAGAAAAGAAAATAGTGCATGATCTCATTTATATGTGGAAGTTGAATACATAGAAACAGAGAGTAGAGCAGTGGTTACTAAGGGTGAGATGAGGAGGAAATGGAGAGAAGTAGGTCAAAGGTACAAAGTTGCAGTTATGTAGAATGAGTAAGTCTACAGAAATAATGTCATAATGAAGACTATACAGTAGTTAATACTGTGTACATGGGAAATTTGCTAAGAGAGTAAATTTTAGGTGCTCTTACTGCAAAAATAGGTAACTATGAAAGGTGATATACCACGTTTTTAGTTTCAGAATTGTACTAACTATCGCATGGTAATTTCTTGTTGCTGTTTTTTTTTTTTTCTATTGTCTGTTTCCTCGGCTTGATCATAAGTTTGAAGAGAAGAAGAAACGTGTATATTTTTCTCAACATTCTTTCTCTGTGCTTTGAATTCTGCCTCACAGGTGAAGAGCACACAATAAAACATCTGTGAAGTTAACACATGACTCCTTACCATTAGATTTCTGGTTTTACTTTATGAATAGATTTTTCACGAAGTCATGAATACATTTAACATGGAATTCCAGTTTGTTTCACCTGAAAAAAAATTGCAAACGCTTTAATTTTGCCTTATACTTTTACTTGCCACCGAACCTTTGGGATTTGTGTGTATTTTTTGACCAAGGGACTTTTGGGATCATTTTCTGGATACAACTTTTTAAGGACTGAGTTATACCGGATTACTAACATGTGCCAGTTGTATTCTTATAAGAAAGAGAATGATAATGATTTATGTTAATTACAGAACACTACATAAAACATTCAGTGAGTCTTTTCCAGATCAGGGAATGCTTCCAAAGACTGTTCTATTTCATGTCAGAGGTAGTGGCATTTTGACTTAAGCAATCTTTTAGCATTGGCCATGCCTCAAAATCAAAAAAAGCAGTAATTTCTGTTACCCAAGGAGAAGATCTGAGGTTTGCAATTAGTGCATACAGACAGAACAAAATTACATAATATGTGGAATTGATTTGGAAAAATTCTTCTGGTAACCATCTGATCTCTAGAATTCATAATAAATGTTGAAGATTGGAGAGGGAGGTATTGAAATAAATAACACTCAGATCTCCTACCCATCAAATTTTAGCTTACTAGGTAAGATAGGAAAATGGGATAAAGTAGCCTCTATGAATAGATTAAGAAAATAAGTTGGCCAGGTGTGGTGGATCATGCCTGTAATCTCATAAATTTGGGAGGCTGAAGCAGGAGCATCACTTGAAGTCAGGAGTTCCAGACAAGGCTGGGTATGTAACAAGGCCCCAGTCATATATCTGTATAAATATATTATGTATATATAAAATTAGACAGATGTGGGGTGCATGCCTGTAGTCCCAACTACTCGGGAGGCTGAAGCAGGGAAATTGCTTGAACCCAGGAGTTCTAGGACGTAGTGAGCTATGATCATTCCACTGCACTATAGTCTGTGCAACAGACTAAGACGTTGTCTCTTTTAAAAAAAGAAAAAAAGGTATTTGGTAATACCAAATTACTAAATTGAGGAAAATAACCTAACTAAAAGACCAAAGAAGGGTCTCTTCTCCAAACCTTAATTTCTTTGCCTTTAATTTTATGCTTGCTTAGCATTCTGTTCAAAAGGACTATCAAAGTCTGTCTCATCTACTCAGTCTTTCTTTTTCTTATCCAACACATTATGGTAATCCACTGTGTCCCAGGTACCTAACAAGGTGATGGTAATAAAGTGATGAAATAAAAAAAAACACACACACACAAACACTTACTGTCTACCCCTAGAAGCTTACATTTTCCTGGGGGAGGTATCATAAAGCAAATAAATAGAAAAGAACAAAGAATTACCATATTGAAGGTAGTAACATAAGATCAATGAGGCCATAAGGTTGTGGGGCAGCATCAGTGCTCTGAATTTAAGTTCGGTAAGTAAGCTGGGTTTCAGATGTTTTTGTTTTTTAAATTTGCACTGATATTATTTTATAAAATATTTGAAAGGCATATTAGAAGAAACAATGTTTTCAATAAAAATTCACTTTCATACCAAAACATAATTTCTGAAAATGTTTATAATATATAGTAAGCTTTTTAAAATATATATTATCATCTTCTTTGAATTCAATAGATTCAAGTATAAGCAGAATATAATTTTTATACAATAATTCAATAGGTACCACAATTAGAAACTACTTGTGAAATTAGATACACTAATCTACTGAGAGGAATTAATTTATCAGATCATAGAGGAATTCACTTTTTGCGTATAAAGAAACAAAAGACTGTTTCATTCTTACCTGAGTAGAGCCATCAGAATGTATTATAGTCAAATTATTAATCTCTTACATTTATAAATATTTATATGTTGAATAAACATTTTGACATATGAATTGGCAAATAAATAATCAGAAAAAAATTGTCTTTGGAAAAGATAAAACTTTTTTTTCTCCAACAGGGAAAATATGTATCCTAAAAAGTTTTGCAGCAAATCTGTCCATTTTCATTTTTTCACCTCATTTTCATCTTATCAAGTCACAATTGTAAAACACAAATTTCAGTATTCATCTAAAAAGACTTGGCTAATATGTCAGACCTAAATATCTAAGAGTTCTGATTTATTTTCCTTGTGCCGGCCAGCTTTCTCTTTTGAAAGCATTTGTGGGAATTATTTAAAAAGACAAAATTTCATATTTGTGTCATTTCAAATATCCATCAGTATAAAATATTTAACTAGCATTCTGAAAAATATTAAAATGATGTAATTATTATTGTTTTATTTGATGAAGCAGAAAAATGAAGAAGATTAAGGAAACATTCTATAAATTAATTGAAACTATCATAAAGGAGAAACATGTATGCTTAATCAAACATTTTAAGTAGTTTGGACGCAGGTAACAGAGATGTTTAAGCAAAAGCTGAAGAAAAATATTCCATAAAAATTATAGAACATTCAATATATCTCTATTACCAATAAAATATTTTAATTTTTAAAATATATAATTATTCAAATAACACGATATTTGGACATTCACTATTTATTAAATTCCAAACTACCATTTTAAAAAGCATACTCTGAGACTGAACTATTTATTTCTTTGGAAAATATGAAAATGTGAAAAGCAAGAACGTTCCAAAATGAGTTCCAAAGTATTTTAAACTGGTTTAGACAAAAAAAATTTAAAAAGCAATATTGTGATGTAAATATAGAAACACAGTTGACACACAAGTGAAATCAGATTTCACATTGTTTCATTCTCAATAACAGCACTGCCACTCACAATTTTCAGCACAGAATTATTCTCTGCCAAAACGTTTATTTGCTTTTATGGACAGCCTAAATGTGATCATGTTCACATTACCCCAAAACAACTTCTGCTAAGAGAGATAGCTGAAATGTTTTCCTGGTCAGAGATGGAATTTTTAGACCACTAGTAATAACAGATATCAGAGAAGCAAACCTCTAACTTCATGTTTTGTAGGTAAGATTAATTTTGAAAAATAGGCTGCTTTAACTTGTGTTATTCTTATATCAGACAAGTCAGTGTATAGCTCAATAGAATATGGCAAAGATATTTGCATTCATTTAAAAACAGTTATTTTGTATCTTCAAATAGCTTGTACAAAACCAAAAGTGCTTCAACACATCTAAATGAGGACATATAGAAAAATTTAGCAATCACTGAGAGCAATTGTTTCTTTTTATTTGTGTGTGTGTACAAATGGAAGAAATGAGGTATTTTTGCATGGGAATCTATTTTCTATTAAAATTTACTAGATTTATTATATCACTGTTCCTGCAGTAGAATCATATCATTTTATCTGAATCAGCTCATATGCCATTGTACAACCGTATATGATAATCAATTTGATTTTTGGTGTTGGGGGGACAAGAACATAGCAATTCAATGCAGATTGCACATGATAAATTTAGCAATCTGACAATTTGTGCACCAGGCACAGGGCCTGACAAATAGTTTGGCCAATTTTCTAGGCTATGTCCAATTTGCAATTGGTATACAGACATGATATAAAGTTTATTGACTGCATCCTTCTCTTACGGCTTTGCATGTAAGCAGAGTGAGATGCTGTGCCTATGGAGAGACGTGAGAAGGTTTGCTGTGTCATTTCTAATGAGAACATAATTGTAGCAATGGTTCATCGTCATGACAACAACCTGATGCTTCCATCCAAGAATCAATACTAATTCCTTGAGTCTATTTCTTTTCTACTGGAGTTTTACAGTAGTGTAGGGAAAGGTCATATGGCACCAAGTGATACAATGTTATTTCTATTGCAACTACTGAAAGTTCTTGTCTAATATTTCTCCTTTTTACACGACTAATAGCTAATGTGACAAATATGATAGAAACACTAGAGGATTGTGATAAAATCCAGATATTATCAATATGAACCTATCAGTGCCATGAGAAACATTAGGCAACTAGCTATAGAATTATACTCTCGGACTCAAGCTAGGATGACGTAGACTCCTTCCAAGGTTTATTTTCTCTGAAGCTCATTAGATATCAGTTTGTCATTTTTTGCGTGCCTCTGAAAAAGAGGTGCTTACTAGCAAATAACATTGTTATGTCTTTTGACAAAATTAAAAGAGATTTGTATTGTGTGACGGATTTTTCCAAAATTGTGAAATAATCAACTATGAATTGCTTATTTTATCTCTAGTTATGAACATAATTTTAAATATCATAAAAATGATCTAGACTAATGTAGGCACATATTTTCCTTTCCTGAACACTTACTCTCTCTAGAGTAAAAGTCTACAGAAATAATATAATTTTTTTCATACCATCATACATAGATTGTAGTTGAAAACATCAGTTCATATATGATATTACAAAAAATATGAAAAATAAAATCTTGACATCACAGGTGATAAGACCAGAGACAACAGGCATTAGAAATTTTAGTGTTGTTTTTAATTACATAGAAATGTTAAAACTGATACAAAGATAACTTCAATGTAAAATCAATCAAGTTTTTTCAACCTAATGCATTGATGTCTGAATATAACAAGAAAAATTAATCCTTTTAAACTCTAATCTCTACAATAAAACTGTAAAATAGCTTTTACTTTTGTGATTGTTTATATCCTAAAAAGACATTTGTTTGTTTCAGATTTATTTCTTTGGGAAGGAAACGGTAAGAGAGAGTAACGAATTAAAAAAGTATATTGGAAAGCAACACTGAAGGAAATAGGCAAGACACAGGAATGTCCCCTAATGCAGACTTGACGGTTTCTGCCAGTTCCCTAAAAATTCTGAAGTGAAGTCTTTCCTTTGGTAAAATGATTAGACCCTTGAACATGTGACTTGTGCAGTCATTGTCTGAGGGCCACTCAAGAATGCTGAACAATCGTTAACACTATTAACAGTTACAGTGTCATTGGTCAAGGTCTGTCCCTAGAAAATATATCAACTAGCCAAACTTCTTACAGCTATCCAGCAAGTATGTTTTGGAAAGAAGTTCTGTCTCTATATGGGTTATTTTATTTCATTATATTTTATTTTGGGTCACAACCAATTCCAAGCCCTAATCACATTTTCTTGTTTCTCTGTTTCATTTTACTTGATTTCATTTGAAGGAAAAACTGGACACTTGCTCTTAATGTCACTTTGTCTTTTCAAGCAAAGCCTACCTTGTTAAATCATCCAACAAAAATATCTTCCATGATGAAGAAAATTAAAAGCTACTTCACAAAGGTTGTACCGTTGAACATTAAATAATGTGTAAATTATGATTGTTTTATTCTATTTCTTTCTGCATGCATTTTTAATAATTGATATATTATTTAGAGAAAGACAGATATAGAAACTCTACATTTAAACTCAAAATTTAGAAGTTTAATATTTTGGAAAATTTACCTGAACAAGTAATACTTTATCAGAAAACCCACTAGTTCTAGGTATTTAGAGATGGAATTTAAGATACAAAACTACACAAGATTTATGGCTTTTTATTAGCTTTTTTGATTAAAATCTGAATCCTGATTTTTTAGTTCAACTAAGGGCCTTCTCAAAAAACAATCAAAGAAAAGAGGTACGTCAATGTAGACAATGATTATGGTAATCTCAGAAAGAAGAGGGATACTATTACAGCATTTTTAATGTCTTCTCATACTGAAAATAACCAAAAGAAGACAGGACATTTAAGTTTTGTCAAATAATATGTTGAAAGTAATCGACAACTTAAAAAAAACTCTTTACTTGTGTTATTCCGCGTTGAAATAGATAACTTTAAAAATATTTAATTCATTTAAACAGATTATTTATAGCATTTATATTTGTTTCTAAGTTAGAGAATATTTTCTAATATCTATGACTCCCAAAGTCCATTTTGGTTCTATGTATCCAAGTAAAACAGTATTTCCTCAACTAATAGATAATTTCCAGCATGACAGAAATTTATATTTTACCATGCTAAATCCTTAGTGCTTTGAATAGCATCCATGTTATAATAGACATTTAATAAACATTTAAGTTTATTAATACATTTATGAATTTAGCTTTATATTTTAACACAATGCTATTTTTCTTAGAATGATTCTAGGGACTGGCTAACAACTCAGAATAAATAAAAAATAGTATGGAAAGCTATATAAGTTGGATTAAAATATTTAGTCTTTATCACTTAATAAATGAACAGTGAGACTATGCTAAGTTATAACAAAGTATTCCCAAGTGTCAGTGCCTTAACCTAGTAAAGGTTTATTTCTTGCTTGTTATATTCTAATACAGGACAAATAATTCCTCTCCAATTAACGATATCAGGTCCATGCTCCTTATTGTGTTACCATTATTGTCACCACTTGGACTCCAAGTTACCTGTCACATGAATGACAATAGAGAATGTATGTGAATGCTATTTAGTGACCAAGTCTGCAAAAGTCAAGTATCCATCTGCCCATATCCCTTTGGCTAAAATTCATTGATGTTGTTCTATCTAACTGCAAGAAAGATGGAAAATCTAATTAAAGTGTGTGTTGAAAAAAAGGAGAAAAAAAAACTTTTTGAAGATTAGCAGTCATTGCCACAGAGATATGTTTCTCCTGGATATTAGAGAGTTGTTACTGTTTAAATTATGAATTAATGTACTTTGTTTATTATCTTTTCAATATCACTGGCAAACTTAACTAGAAAAATCAAATACTAACCCAGAAGTTTGAATTACTTTTTTATTTTGTTGTGTTTCTTTTTCTTAACAAGAGTCATTATCCTAACAGACAAAAATTGTAATAGCCACATCCATGGAATTCAGTAGAATACAATTACATTTCTTTATTTTGAAGGATTTAAGAAACAGTGGTTGCCTCTGGAAGACAGGAATTGCTAGAGGGGAACATAAAGGGAACTTTCTAGGGTGATGAAAATGCTAAAAATAAAAAGGCAAAAGGAAAAAAGAAAGAAATCATACCCTTAAATGTTTACAAAAGTGAATAAAATAATTGGTTAAAAACAACAAAACCTTCATTTCTGACTACTATAAATTAGATTTAGAAGACAAATATTTCCGCTGAGGACAACTATGAAAGCTGAATACAGTTTTAAAAATAAACAAATTTTTTTTAAATTAGGCATTGAAGAGACACCATAGCAACCAAAGCTTGAGACACTAAGAACCCAGGGTAAAAAAAAAATTGAGAGGAGAGAAGGCTATATATCACACTTAAAGCAGCAGCTGAGACACTACAGTCCTAAGCAGAAATACTGGCAGACTCACTATGCTGATGACATGAAATTTGAAAGTTGGGTGAAGGCAAAGAGGAGATGCCCTGATAAACACTGGGTTTCAGTTGAGTCTTCTAAAATGGTATATCCTGAGAGTGAAGCAAAGAGGAAATAGATCAGTCCTCACAAAGTTGAAACTCAGACTCGAAATATCACAAATTCTAACTGGATATAGATTACTTGCACCTAATCAACTACTTCTCCTCTATAGTTTTTTCTTTCTTAATATTTTAGTCCATTTTTGTGTTGCTCTAAAGAATACCTGAAGATGGGTAATTTACAAAGCAAAGAGGCTTATTTGGCTCACAGTTCAGCAGGCTGTACCAGAAGCATGGCACAGGCATCTACTCAGCTTTTGATGATGGCCTCCTGCTGCTTCTACTCATGGCAGAAGGTGATGGGGAGCCAGCTTGTAAACATGACACGGCAAGAGCGAGGAATAGAGGAGGAGGTGTCAAGCTCTTTCCAACAAACAGTTCTCCTAGGAACTAAAAATGAGAACTCACTCTCAAAAATGCCACTAAGATATTCATGAAGCATCTCCCCCCAGACTCAAACGTTTCCTTGAAGGACCCACCTCCAACACTGGGAATAAAATATCAACATGAGACTTGACGGTACCAAACAAACCATCTTCAAACCACAGCATTTAACATAAAGTCCAGTTTAAAAATAAAATAAAATGTCAGTAAGGTGGGACACAAAGACAAAACAAACACAAAAGACACCTACAAAATTAATTGACAACATAAACAGAGTATAAATGAATCCCTTTTTTGGAGTTGAAGGCAGACAAGCTACAATAGCTCATTAATAGGTAAAAGAAAATAGAAGATAAAAAATTTTGCCAAAAAAATTGAATATATAAAAAAGTATCAAAATTCTAGAAAAGGGGCAACATTGAATCTTAAAACACTAAAACAGTTTTAATAGCTGAATAGTTACCTAAAAGTTGCATTGATTATGTGGAAATTAAATATCCATAGGAATTAGTCAAATAGAAGTAGAGAGAGAAAAGACACATGAACTGCAAGTGGATTACATGTGAACTACACATGAAGCACATGTGAACAACATAAGAAATATGAAACGTGGTGTATTGTTCTCATATATGTATACCTGGAATCACAGAAGGAAAGCAGAGAGAGGAGAGAGGTGAAACAATATTTGATCAGAGTTATAATAATACAAAACTCAAGTGGGAAAACACACATAACGCCACACCTTTTTACATAAGCTATCACACAAGACCAGATTGTGAAATAATATGTGAATTAGAGATTTTACATATAATTGAGTATAAGCATTGGTCAGATACCTCCTTCCCATGTTGGATGTGAACTTTCTACTCAGAATAATACAGGATGTCTGTTAGTGCAGCTTGTGGGATCACCTCATCTAATGCAGAGGACATTTATTTATGTAATAAAGCATCTATATTTTAATCACCAGAATTTTTTTTAGCTTATGTGATACGACGAAGGAAACCATGTCTCATAGATCCTGGATTTAAATGATTCATTTTATATCCTTGAGGCTCTCTTAAGGTCATTCATTGTCTATTTATCTAAAAATACAGTTGATTGTGTGTGTGTGTGTGTGTGTGTGTGTGTGTGTGTGTGTGTATGTATGTATGTATGTACCCTGATTGTTATTTTAGGGTTCTGCTTTATTATTCTTTTTTACTCAAATGTCTGTTTTGTTAATAAGTTTTAAAATTATTTTAAGTACACATTTTGAAAAATTATGCTCTGATATTGATAATGTTAAAACCAATAAAATATTGAAAGATGATATACTTTATTATTTCTTATATGGAAGCAATATATAAATAAATACAGAGGTTGATTGACAAATTGATCAATAGACAAATAAATGACCAAGTTACAACTTTTTAATTAAATGTAACACTGAGGAGTTGAAATGTTTTCATGATTTCAAAGAAACCGTAACTTTTTTTAAAATAATGCAAAATTTGTCCTTTTTTGGTCAGTGTTTACTAGTAAATTATGGGTTAGTTCATTACATAAAGTTTAATTATTTTACTTCTGAAATAAACTTTATTTTATAAAACTATACAATTGAATTTTTTACTGAAAATTACATATATTTTGCCTGGGATATTGATCTGTAATTTTCACTTGTGTGTGTGTGCCTGTGTGCTCTGTGTATGTACCAACCTTTAGTTCAGTTGACACTACTCTCTCTTTAAAACAAATTCCTCTGTAACTTCCATTTATTGGAGGTTTAAGATAATTCACTTGCTAAACTCTGGTTTTTGAATTTTTAAAAATTTGACTATGATGATATTATTTTTTCAATACACTATTTTACTCATATTATCTACCCTTTTTTCCATAAGTTAATTTGAAAATTTCCACCACAAGAGAACAATAAGATTTTAAGATGTATTGGCATATAATAGGGCATAATGATCTTTTACAATGCCTTAATTTTTGAAAGCTTTTTTTTGGACAGTAAGATTTTTGAAATATGCATATAACTAAAAATTGTGCTTATAAACACAATTCAGAAAAAATCTCCTTTCAGGTTTTCTTTCTGACCTATAATATGAATTATTTGCTGAAACAAATATATGCCATTCTTAAAATTTAGAAACAGGTAAAATATAAAAATGATATATAATGATATGTATACATACATCATTGTGTGTGTGTGTGTGTGTGTGTGTGTGTGTGTGTGTGTGTGTAAAATACCTGGCCAGGTAGCACAATATCTCAAGAAAAAAGAATTTAATTACCAAGTGGAAGAAAAAAATTGTCATTTATAGATTGATGATATAGTTTTCCCCCAAACCCCAAAACAGATTAGTACTTGAAATGTCATAATGTTGCTAGAGATATATAAAAATCATGTTTTATATTTACTAAACAACCAATTAGAAATTGCAATTTTATTCATAAGTTTTAATAGAGTAATAAAAAGTGTAAGGAACATATAAATATATCTAATACTTATTATAAAAGTCATTTGTTAAAAACTATAAAATTTATTAAGGATAAATAACAATTATATGAGAGATAAAGTGTTTATGTAAATTTTAACATACCATAACAGTTTCAGTACACCTAATTATATCTATGTATTCAATACAATTTTAATAAATGCCTTTAAAGTATTTTTACTCTTCAAACTTACAAGCTGATTGAAACCTTTATACAGAATATTAAAGGAGCTGCCATTATCAAGAAATATTGACAGAATACGGTAGATGAGGACTTAATCTATAAGATTTATGATTTAGCTTTACGATAAAGCTAGAATAATTAAAATAATGTGATATTGGCACAGTGATAGACCTGCCAATTAATCATAACTGAGAGTCTATGGGATCACACATTTACAAAAACTTTGTAATAGCAAGTAACCGAAATAGCAGAACAAATCAATGAGGACAGGAAGGCTTTGTAAAAGTAAGTTCTGTCATAACTATCTGCATATTGTAGATTCAACACTTCTCAGAGCAGGGGATTCCATGGAAAGCATTTTTGGTGTGTCCAAAATTTGGCATGACACATCTAATAAGGCTTATCATTACTTTGTACAACATGCTTTTGTACATCTAACTCTGAGTTTATCTGTTTATAATCAGAGCTTTTCACTGACTGATAGCAAGGCAATGCTTGTGCCCGAAGCATATCATCCTTTTTTGTAATGTGTCCTCAAGCTTTATATACAATGTTTCAACATTATTTGAGTAATATATTTCTTTCAGGGAGAGATCAGAGAGAAAAGTGTAGCTGTTTGAAGTGTGATACTTGACTTTCTCTCATTCAACTTTATAAGCCTTTTTGTACTGTGGCTTGCTATTACACTTTGTGAAATATTTATATATTTCAAAGCTTGTCAACAGAGCAGCAAGAGTTGGCTTTCAGAGAGCTAACACGATATAGTAGAATTATTATTATATAATTATAATTATTTTGAAGTTAACACAAATCTCGTTTTAAATTTTAGCTCTCCTTATTTTATGATTTAGGCATGCCACTTGATGTTTTTCAGTCTCAGCTTCTTGATTAGTAAAATGCAATAATAATATTTTATCAGAGGGAACTATTTCAAAGAGACAAATTTAAAATAAATGGCAAACGTAGACCTTCACAATAAATTACCTTCTTTAAATTCTTCATGATACTAGCAAGAAAAGAACACTGTTTGGTATAAAGGTAAATGCTGTCATTTTGGTTTATCTATCCATTCATTCTCTAACATAATGTTTGACTTTTTCAATCAATAGCTAATGATAACCAAAGAACAACCAACCATAATTAACAACCAGTTACATTATCTATACCAATATTTTTTAAGTTAATATTCTCATTTTTCTTATTAATCTTCCAAAATAACTAGTATAGACTCTCACTACTTTCAGAGGATTTGATACAGAGAAGTGAAGCCAGCTGGGATTCTGGGTCAGGTGGGGACTTGGAAAACTTTTCTGTCTAG
The DNA here is from genome assembly GCF_000001405.40 of Homo sapiens. NCBI lineage: Eukaryota > Metazoa > Chordata > Mammalia > Primates > Hominidae > Homo > Homo sapiens. The sequence continues at coordinate 27,462,949 of NC_000005.10, forward strand.
CTAGAGGATTGTAAATGCACCAATCAGCATTCTGAAAAAATGGACCAATCAACACTCTGTAAAATGGGCCAATCAGCACTCTGTAAAATGGACCAATCAGCAGGACATGGGTGGGGTCAAATAAGGGAATAAAAGCTGGCAACCCTAGCCAGCAGCAGCAACGTGGGAGAGGTTGGTTCTTTCGATCTTGACAATAAATCTTGCAGCTGCTCACTCTGTGGGTACATGCCACCTTTAAGAGCTGTAACACTTGCCTGCAAAGGTCTGCGGCTTCATTCTTGAAAAAAGCGAGACCGAGAAGCCACCAGAAGGAAGCAACTCCGGACACAGTACTTCAAAATATTACAGAAATTTGTTTTGAAATACGTGACAAATAGTATTGATAATACATGAAGCAGTTCGTAGATACTATCAGTGCCATAAGACAATTTTATACATTTAATTTCTCAAAAGATAGAGCTGTAAGGAGGGTCCCTGAGTAGAAAAAAAAAAAAAGGTTTTCCTTTGTGCTCCTATCATAATAATTAACACAGAAGACTTCTGTGACCAAACGTGGGTTTTTTTCCCACCACATATCAAGCAAGCAGTTAATTCTGCAGAGGAAACCAGTTGGATGTCCTCTACTTCAATTCAATTTGACACTAACTGGAGATAACATGAGATCATACAGGCTGAGGGCTCAGTTCCACAAGACTGAATGCCACCTACAGTAACAATTGCATGCCCAGGTTATTTTTCTTGTGCTTCTGGCTGACTGGTTGCATTGGGGTTCCTACAACCCTTTTTTTATTTAATTTGTAAGAGCAGTTCACAGAACTCAGGCAAACATGTACTTTATTTACTACCTATTACAAAGGCTGTTTTAAAAGATGCAGTTGAGATGCGTTTTGCATCTGGGATTCAGGATGGAGGGAAGGAGCACAGAGCCTCCTTGCACTCTTCGGCGTGCACCATCCTCCAGGCACCTGCAGAAGTTCAGCTGTCCAGAAGCTCTCCATACCCCACCCTCTGAGCCTCTATGGAGACTTCACTGATAGGCACGATTGAAGTACGGTAATACTAGCAGACTCAGTGAGGAAACCCAGAAAGGCCTGTCTGCTCGGATTCTCCTTGGCTTCTCTGCTCAGCATTCCTTCCTCCAGAAAGGACTAGATGCCTTATGTAACAGGGGTCTCATGACCCACAATCAGACACGGTAGGTTAGAGAATTTCTTTATAACTGGCTCCAAGACAGAAAGGCAGTTGAAGATTAGGGGATATTTTCAGTTTCTATGGGCTGCTTTGAGGAGAAAAAGGAACAGGTGAAAGAAGGGCAGGAGAAGGTCAGAGAGAGATGCTGTTTTATGAGGCCCGCTTCCGAGGCTTACAGCACATTATAAGAAAAGATTGCCTTTTACTTTTATCGTTCTGAAGCTATTCAGGAACCAAGGAAAAAAGGCCAAATACTTTGACAAAATATATGCTTATTGTTTTACTCACTTAGGAAATAATAAGGACTATGGGAGTTATGAGCCAAGAACTGTGGATGAAAAGATATGTGTATATATGTAAAATAATATACTCTCCGTTAGATTTGATTTGACATCATAGGACAGAAAGAGTTGACAAAACATCATATATTTAAAGACATAATTACTAGAATCTACAAATACTGTCAATTAATCTTGAGTTTCACATTGTTACTGGATACTTGTTTTAGAGGAAACTATTCATGACTTTTTCCTCTCTGTCTCATTTTATTATTATAAAGTCATTGATGTACTGCAATGTGATTTAAAGTATATGTGCCAAAGTTTTTTTCTGTTCCAAAAAAAGAAACTTTTTTTGAATATTGTATTATTGCTAGGCTTAAAATCTTTTTCTCAAAGAAGTTAAATGTGTAAAATTCAGATACAAATTAAGTTCATTAAAATAGTCATTTATCAATTACTATGCAACTATGTCTCAGAATTCAACAAGAAGTTTAAGAGACTATAAAAATAAAATTAAAATTTCACATCATTTGATAAAGTGAAAATATTCAATTGTTGGAAAAGTAATTGTGGTTTCAGACTGTGCATTTTATATCATTATAACTAGGCTGAAACACATCTTTATTAATCAAAATAGGAACCATTACAATCAAAACATTTCTGCCAACAAGAAGTAAGTTTGTTTATTCCTGTAGCGTAAAAATCTGTGCTTCATAATTGAATGAACTCTTGGAAAGCATTTTCTACATTCTGCTGGTTGTGGAAGCATTTGCCCTGCAAAACATTGTCAATATGCTTGAAAAAGTGGTAGTCGGTTTGCAAGACGTCAGGTGAATATTGTGGATGGGGCAATTTGTTGAGCCTAGTAGCCCAATTTCTTGAGCTTTTGAAGTGTTGGTTTTGCAATCTGTGGTCAAGCATTGTGGTGAAGAATTGGGCCCTTTCTGTTGGCCAATTCGGCTGCAGGTGGTGCGGTTTTCAGCTCATCTCATCAATTTCCTGAGCATACTTCTCAGATGTAATGGTTCAATCAAAAAGCTGTAGTGGATCAGACGAGCAGCAGACCACCAAACAGCAACCATTATCTTTTTTTGGTGGAAGTTTGGCTTTTGGTAGTGCTTTGGAGCTTCTTCTCACACTGAGCTCGTCTTCAGTAGTTGCTGTAAAAAATCCACTTTTGTCCCACATCACAATCCAATAGAGAAATGGTTCATTGTTTTTGGGTAGAATAAGAGAAGATGACACTTCAAATTGAAGATTTTTTTGATTTTCGCTCAGCTCATGAGGCACCCACTTACTGAGCTTTTTCACCTTTCACAATTGCTTCAAATGCCAAACGACTGTAGAATGGTTGACGTTGAGCTCTTCGGCAACTTCTCGTATAGTTGTAGGAGGATTGGGTTTGATAATTGCTCTCAATTTGTCGTTTTCAACTTCTGATGGCCAGCCACTAGCTCTTCATCTTCAAGGCTCTCATCTCATTTGCAAAAGTTCTTGAATCACCACTGACTGTATGTTTGTAAGCAGTTCCTGGGCCAAATGCGTTGTTGTTGTTGCGAGTTTTCTCCACTGGTTTGTGACTCAGTTTAAACGCGAATAAGAAAGTCGCTTGAATTTGCTTTTTGTCTGACATCAATTCCATAGTCTAAAATAAACATAAAATAAACAGCAAGTAATAAGTCATTAGCAAAAAAAGAAATGAAGTGAGAAATTCCCCTTAAAATGATGTATAACATAACTACATTTATTTAAGAACGTATTCCAATATCAAATGACAAATTTCAACAATGCAAAAACCACAATTACTTTTGTACCAACCTGAAAATAGAAAGAGCTTTCCTAAATAAACAACTAATTTTAATAAATAATATATGCAGTTAAGTGAAAAAGGCTGGGCATTCACAGAAAAAAAACAAACAAACAAGAGATACTATTTGGTTATTACACATAATTCTAAAAAAAGAACAAATCTAGACATTTTAAAACTTATGGAAAAAAGAATTAATAAAGACACAAACCATAAATATTTTGATTCTGCAAATGTGTGAGCACTGCACAATTTCACATTGACTTAGAAATAAGAATACTCATAGATATGTAAAAGTCAAGAGCCAAAAGAGTAGTATATATAAATACAAAGTCTCCTAAAAATTATAGTTCTTACATAATTTGCAACTTACATAATGTGTTCATTATTTGTTCTTTCTTCACTCGCCATATATTTTTAACATAAAATTATGTAACTATATAAATAGAGGGTGTTTTGACCCCTATGTCTACATTATACCCCAATGGGTCAATCTATCAATCTACTGAATAACAATAGACCTCCAATTTTTGTTAATATCTAACTACCAGAAATATCAATCCCTTGAAATTGAAGTGGTTGCAGAGCTTACTCTGTGAGTTGAGATTGAGTATTTTCATTTTTTCTTCCTGTCCTCTTTAATTTATTTTCATAAGCCTCCTGATTTCAGTTTTACCAATTTTTTTCCTTACTTTCTCATTGCCTATAGATAAACAAAAATGTTTTATTTTTTCTGGGGATAATTTTATTATAGCCAAATTTTTTTTCAGCAGTTTCCTTGCCTTAGTTCCAAACCTAATGCCTCTGTCATTTTTCTCTACACTCTTCCTTTTATATTATTGTCCATGAGATTTTGTTTATTTACTCTCACCCCTTGATACCTTTCTATTTGTTATTTTTATTCTTTAAAAATGCTGACTTTACTAAAATGGAAAGAGGTTAAACTGTGTAAATAATAATGTAAGAGTCAAGTCTCGTCATATTCACAATTTGGCAATTAGGCTTGAGGTTCCTCAAACAATTTCTTATGTTAGGAAGAAATTGTTTATAGATACCAGTGTTTTTCAAACTATGCAATCCTTGACAATCAAATTGAGTGTCCTTTTCATTAAGATTTAACAAGAGTAATGTTTTTCCTTGCAAGCTAAAGTAAATAATTTCATAAGCCACTTATTTTTCACTTCCATCTCTCCTACTTCTACCTTGGCAACTATTTCTCAAAAATCAAGTCTAAAAGTATTTCTTTGTTTTTCCCTATAATAATTCTATGACGTTGAGTTGGGTTTCTAACATTTGGTACATGAGTGTTTTAAAAACATATTGTAACTAAGTGTCTTCTAATACTGCTCTATCAAATTAACATATTCAGGAAGTGTTAAGTGAGACAGTCCATCACAAATCAAAATTAAAATCAATTTTGATGTCTCCAAACAATGAGAGAGGCACTTGCATCTTCCGAATTTCGTCAAAGCATTTAAATTATGATTGCTTAACATATTCAAATAAGCTATTGAATACTCTTTTCCAGATAGATCACATTTTTAGTGTTTTCATGTGATATACATGAATTTGACTCTCCTGTTACTTTGTTGCAAGGACGCTGTAGTGAATGTCTTGAAGGCATAGACAATTTAAGTTGAATCCCTTCTTATAAAAAAAGAAGCTGTGAATGGACAATTCTCAATGTCATTTCAGAGTCACTAGCAATGAAAGGGAACCTATTTAAGGATTTTCTCTGCCTTTCAGTAGTGAAAAAAGCTTCTGGTTGGTTTACACCCACACTATTTTATTTGGAATTTAATTAGAATGAATGTCACTGGAGGCAAATACTGTGTGCAGCATTTCTAAATTCATTTATAAAGATGCCTACTAGATAATGCAGATTCAGTTTCAGGAGTTTAGTTCCTATAGAATTGTAGGTAGGCTAGAGAGAATTATAGTCCCTTCTAATCATTAAAACGTATGCATGAAGTACTTCAAGCCAGCTTATTCATCACTCCTGAAATGCTGACAAAATGCTTAAGGGCCTACTTCTTCTGAAATAAAATGAGAAAATCCCCCATTCTTTAAGGTTCAGGAGAATATTGTGCACGGGAAGATCTATTTTTAAATGACACTTCTTATAATGTGCAGACAAAACCACGGATTAGTTACTGCTGTTCCTCAGCATGTTACTTTGTACATAAACTTGAAGCTATATCAGGGAGAGAAACCCACTGCTAAAAGGTTTTAAGGCATGAGTTAGAATGCTTTTAATATTCACTTTTTCAAACATCATCATCCTGAAGATTGTATCTCTCACTGAAAATTCTATTCATGTGTGAGGCTACCAATTATTAATGTAAGAGACATTCAAATTTGCAGAATAATTTGTATATGTTTAAATATTTTTATTTAACTTAGTAAAATAATGGATTTAATTATAATGGATGCATATTATATTGAGATGGGATAGTTTGCCCAATAATGTAATTTCTTGTAGTAGCATATAATGATATCATATATAATAGATATAATGAAACCATTTGGTGGCACCATTTTAATAGAATCAGAATTTATCTGAACTTAGCTCTGAATTTTTCAAATTATAATCAGTGGAGCTTCACTAATTTCCCTGAAATAAATTGTAAAAAGACGGAAAAAATAAGACCATTACAAAAATATTTTTAAATATATTTTTATATTTTAAATATCATGTTATGAATATTTGAAGTTAAATAATATTAAATTAATGTACTTATCAGAAAACTTAAATTTTCTGAATTAGAATTGAAGCTACAGTGACTCTAGCACTTCCAAATGTTTTTATATCATTCCACACTAAATCTTGGATCACCTTTAAATGAAGTGCATATAAAAAACGCTTAAGTGCTCTTAGTAATTTTCAAGCAATATGTACAACATTGCCCAGAATTTGAACTCTTCCAGATTTCGTTTCCAATAAATTTAAATTGCTTTGTGTAGTGAAGAGTAATTTAAAATTATCAAAGTGCTCTAAATTCCACAGTAGAGTACCCATAAAATGTAAAGCCTTTCAATGATTTTAAATCACTATACACACTTTAGAGTAATTTCAGCACATCAAACGCTTTGATTTTTAGTTTTCATTGCCTTAATTTGAAAGAATGAAAAAATGCCAAACCAAAATAGCATTTATTATCAGTGAGAGTTGTAACTAACATGATTTTCAAATTGACTCAGACTTTACCATGTGAAACATACCGTTGTTACTAATGAGTCAAAAAAAACTGTAGCCACCATTATAGCAAATATTTATAATATTAATGAAAATTTATTTGTCAGACAAGATAGAATGTATTATTCTAGTATATATTTACAGTGGACCCATAGTATAGTTTTCTATTTTACACATCCCATGTGAGTGTGAAAGTTGGCTACTTGCAACTTCTCAGAGATATTTACATATAATTTATAAAAATCTGAATTGATTCAAAGTTAAGAAAACAGAATCACTCAATTACATTGGAAAATGTTCAAAGAATAACCAGTAAAGGCAATAAAAATGCTTCAAAATTTAAAGTAACAAAAAATTTATATTTTTATTCTAAGAAAACACAATAAAATTTGTTGACAATTACTAAAAATATCAGAATATCTCATATATGATTAAGTAAAACTCAGTTGATTGATAGTATACTCAATTAAATTAAGAGCAATAAAATGCTGGTGTACCAAGGGGGTTGATAAATAACACCACTCTTGTATGCCCAAGTTCTTAATCAAATGAGAAACTGGATAAGAAACCAGTAAAGTTAAACCAGATTCTACATGATTAGTGCTTTCTTGTGGGGAAGGGAGCTTATAATGCTAGATTCCAGAATTGTTCAAGGGTGTTCTGTCTAAACAGATTCTTCCCCAGGAATAAGCTGTTTTACTATGGGCCAGAGGAAACAGCAGTGCATATGGCCTTTGAGAATCTCTTAGTTCCAAAGAAAAATAAAACAGAGAGTTGTATTCTTTATAAAGAATTTGTCTTCCTCAACTTATCAATTAACATTAACTCATCTACACATCATGAATAGAATGAAATTAGGAGTGGATAGGTAACAAAGTGTTACAGTGAGGAAGCATCAGTAATAGAGATAGAGCATTCTCTCTTCATGTGAGACAGTGCATCAATGAGGAGAAATCTATTGTATTAATATTACCTCCAAAAATGTTAAGATAATGTCATTAATTATTTCAATGGATGCTACAAAGCCCAGTATAATATGTAAAGATAAAATTGTATGAAATGTCTCAATTTTTATTAACTTGATCATGAAATTAAATAAAAGCAACTAAGTTGTAAAAAATTGGAAAGCCTGATACAAAATAATTTAAATGACATAATTCTATGTCTTCGAAAAAAATTAAAGTTTAAGAAATCAGTTAAGTATAAGTATTTATACAAAGTTTATAACCTGTCCTTATACCAGCAAAGTACTTAGAGAGTAAATGATAGATAACAATGTTTCATTATTGCAACAAAATGGAAGGAAGAAAACAATAAATAGAAAGGGTTCTATAAGACAAATACACGATCAAATGGAACAAAATTAAAGAGCTTTATTTTAATTATATATTTATATGTGTATAATAGGACAAGAAGACTAAATAAAATCTATATTTGTTTTCTTTATATGAACACTAAATAACAAATATTCTAAACCTGTCTATTAAAATTAATTTATTGTTTGGATAAAATTCTTTTTTATAGTAAGTGGAATATCAGAAAGCAGACTTAATAAAGTTATTTTAAAGTTAATCTCAAAAAATAAAAACAAAAGCAAAAATACAACCCTGAAATTCTGGTTCATCTTTGGCAGTGAAAGCTCCCCATAGTCCATCCATCCTACTAATTGTAACTATAAACTTTGAATACTTTTTTTTTTTTTGAGACGGTGTCTCACTCTGTCGCCCAGGTTGGAGTGCAGTGGCAAGATCTCGGCTCACTTCAACCTCTGCTGCCTGGGTTCAAGTGATTCTCCTGCCTCAGCCTCCTGAGTAGCTGGGATTACAGGCGCTTGCCACCGCGCCTGGCTAATTTTTGTAGTTTTTCTAAGTAGAGACGGGGAACTTTGGATACATTTTTTAGAGTAAAAAAAGTAAATTAAAAATACCCTAATTGAAAACTCTGAAAATAAACAAGTTAGTTTTTTTTAAGAGATGCCAAAATTTGAAAAAGCAACTGTTATTAAAGTGATTTGCATTATTTTTTTTTTCCTTGGGATATTTTTTCCCATTCACAGAGTGGAAAAGCATAGGTGACTACAAGTCTTGCTAGACACTCTGCTGTCAATTTGGCTAGGAAAAAAGCAAAAACAAAAACAAGTAATGGACATTCAGTAAATATTAGCAGAGACAAAGGAATGTTACAAAGGAAGCAAATGGAAATTTTTTAAATGAAAAATAAAATATCTGAAATTAAACATTTATTAAGTTCAACAGCAAAAAAAGAATAATAGTAGGAAAATATGTTGAACATAAAATAGTATGTCCAAAAAGCCAGATCTAACTTCTTATTGCCTACAAGGAATCAACTTTGAATATAAAGAAAATGGTACAAATTAATAGATCAATAGCCATTCCCCAATATAAAGAACACAGAACAATGAATGAGACTAAAGAGATACTTTGAAACAGAAAAATAAGGAAACCTCAAAACGTGAAGGACAATATTAAAAGGTCTAACGTATTTGTAATTTCGGTACCCAAAGTTAAAATTGGGGCATACTTCTAAATACCCAAAGACTTTCAAAATCTGCAGTACAGTCAATGACATACATTTACGAATGAAAGAAGCTCAGCAAATTCCAAATAGTGTAAGTGGGAGCAAAATGCCTAGGCAGATAAAAAGGGGTCCCTAGAGAATTTCTGGCCTTCTTCACAAGTGTTTACATTAGATGCTTTTGTGCAGATGAGGGAACCTGCCCAGGGCTTGTCTGGGCATGCCCACAGTGGACTGGAGCCTGACATGCTCACTGGGGCAAGTGGGTGGAGCCATGAGGAATTCATGCCTTGCAAAGGGGAGGAGCCTGCCCTCTTGAGCTCTTGTGGTGACCTGGGAATCAATGTGTGAGGTGGTGCTATGTAGCAGGAACCCCTCTTGCTTTGCAAATAGTTTTTTGTTTGTTTTCCTTTTTGCCCAATAGAGCCCTGCTCTACTGACCCTTCAATGTGCCCGTGTGCCTAAATATTCCTGGTCGTGTGAAAAGAACCCAGGTATTAGCTGAACTAAGGAGCACAATTCTGCAACATTTTGGCACCCAAACACGGGGCTTGAGAAATGGTGAGTAAGATGCGAACAAAAACGCCCCTTTTTTTCCTTTACCTTCTAAGCCTTTGTGTCGTCGGACTTTTTCTGAGAGTAGGGGAAATTGTACCTCCCTCCCCTCCACTCCTGTCTCTTCCAGCGGTCGGGAATATCAGCCTTTTCCTGTTTTTAAGGGATAGACAGGTGAACCAGAGGCTCCCTGCTCCCCTCTTAAGTTCCTCGCCCTGCTGGAGGAACCCATTTCCATAAGAATAAGATTTTCTTCCTGCAGGCATCTTTCCAACTCTGCACTTTAAACTTTTCTGCCTTTCTCTACCCTGCCAGCAGTTAACTTTTAAGTGAGAGTTTTGTTTTTTTTTTTTCCTTTTAGAAGACATTTTACTAGGCCAGGAATTATAAGGATCACTGTTTATATTCTCTGTAAAGTTTTAATTATTAAAAATGATTCATGAGGTTGATTTTAATCTGTAGCCAATCTAGTGTGCTTTGCATGGCTTTCTGTATGGTCAGTAGCAACTTTGCCGCAGGTCTCCATCTAGTTTTACGTCTTTCAAGTGTGACCTGTAACCTCATGGCAATGTTTCGTTTAGCCTCCACCATTTTACAGTGGCAGCTGGGTTCAATCCTGGCTTAAGGAATAAACTCCTTCTGATTTGATATCTGGATGACCTTTGCAATTTGTTGATTCTTTTCCCCTCAACAGCCTTGGATTTTTCTTTCCCTGAGCCTTTAGTAAAGTTTGAAAGCCAGAAATATTGGCTGCTCGGCATAACTAAAACCAGATAACAAGGGATTTAAAACAATTTTCTTAAAGAGCACACAGCTTAATTAAAAGTGTATATCCAAGTTATAGGCATATTTGAAAGGCCTTTATTTATTTAATTTTTTTCCCCCTTGGATTTTGTTTTGCTGGAAAAAGGGTTTTTTCTCAGTTGGCCGAATTCTTTTTCTCCATTTTGTCTTGCCACTCTTGATGCATGCACGTGAGGCTCTAAGGTAACTCTGGGGTGCATGGGACTCCTTGAGAAAAACAGAAGGCACCACTGACCCCTTTTTGGGAAGAAATCTGTTTTCCTCATGGAACCCCAGGAATTAAAAGCAGATAGATCCCTCTCAAAATCTGTTTTTGCTTCCCAATTATGCCTGTTTATTACGCCCTAGAAGCAGCATGTTTTCCTAGCCCTGTCTCTTAAAGGGATCCGCCTGGAGGACAATAATCCTATTAGGAGACTGGCAAATGAAAAACCTTGTGGCTGCTGAGTTTTCTTCTGCCTGGCTGTGTAGTTATATATGTGTTGTATTTGTGATGTTTATAAAAACAGCTCTAATTAATTGGCCTAAAGAAAAATAAGCACTTGGATCAAATATTTTTTAATGGAAAGATAAAAGCTGTGGTAGCTTTTAGTTCTCATGACTTTAATCTTTGAGAAATAAAAACAGCCTTAAAGATTATTTGGTGAAATGCATATGTCATCAAAATTTAAATAGGTGGACTAAATTATGCACGTCAGATACTAGGTTTGCTAAATGTTTTAAGGCTATAAAATGCTTTTTGAGAATGATTCAATTTGCTGGCTTCACAACTGGTAAGGCCCGGAGACATATGTTACTAACCACGCCCTTAGTTGTGCTGGAAGGAGTCAAACCTTGGCTGCCCCTAGCACATAATTAAAACAACTTACCAGGTTTTACTTTAAAGGTAAAAATTGCTAGGAGTTACCATTATAACATGTAATTGAGACCACTAAAAATATATTTACATTTGAGTTATGTGAGAACAGTAAAATATGTTTTTAGTAAAAGATTATAAGAAGGCATAGAAATGTAAAATTCTGCCTAAGGTTAAAAGATTGTTTTGAATTAAATAAGATAACAGTAAAAGTTCAAACAAGTTGTGGAAGGATTGCAAAAATTAACCTTGCAAAGGAAATCCCATGTGTGAACATATTGACTAAATTCAAAGAATATTATATGGTTTTTCTGTAAATTCAGCATTGAAATAAAAGCATAACAAGGCACTCTTAAAGCAGTAAGCTACTCTTCAGCAAAATTTGTAAAGTGTTATAACAGATTTTTGCTTTTAGAATTTCTGAGTCATCATTTTAGCAAAGTAAATAACATGGTAATCTGGAATCCTATTTCATAACATCAAGTATTTTAAATCCCTAACATACTTAACAGCCTTCCCAAAATCAAACTTCAGTTTCAAAATTGTCTTTCTTGATACCAGACTTTTGGATGCTACAGAGGACACCTGCAGCATCAAAAAAAGTAAGGTAAATGGATTATCTGGTATGTTTTAGGTACATGGGATTGACAAAACGGTGTTCAATCCTTTTTCGGTTGTATTTTTGTGAATAATACTAATAGTACTAATAATAATACTAATGTATAGTTCCAAACTTTTATGGGATTTAAAAAATTCTAATGTTTGAGCATATACTATCAATCATAATTATAGCTATTATGTTAAATTATTGTAAACCATGGAGATAACCAAATTTATTTGTCAATCATGTTTCTGACTGCAACTACCCTGGACATTTTGTTACTCACAAACCATTGTTGTCTTGTTTTGATCCTATCCTCTTCACATGATGTTTATAATCAGCTATGGAACTTTGACAGGTGTTCTCAAATGCAGGCTTCTGATAACTTTGGAGATTGTGACATTGGAATAAAGGAAAAACATACAGGGCTCATGAAAATTGAAATGTTCATGGATAGCAAGCAAAACAAGAGTTAACTGAATGGACTGAACTAATAGAAAACTGAAGTAATCGTTTTAGCTTTTGCTTGGAATATTGCTGATCATTATTTTGTTTTTCAGAGTCCAGGAAACTTATTTTGAACTATTTATGACCTTTAATAATTGAGTAAGGTGTACTCCTGTGAACAAAATTTGGAGCATTATTTGTCTCTCTCTGCCTGGCTTCTCCAGAATTTGGAAACTAATATTGAGTATTCTTAACTTATGGCAGTATAGTCATTTGCATCAGTGCAATAAGAATCCTTTTTCTTTTGCAACAGAATGCAATTGGAGAAACTGGTTGTTTTACCAGGCGTTGATTGGAAATGTGTGCTTCCCTTTAAGCAGTCAAGCTCAACTTGCAGAACTGATGGGAACCCCTTGGGAAAACTGGCCTCAAATGTTTGTCTACACAGTCCACATACAGGGTTCTTAACCTGCGGTGAGTAAAGAATGTCACTTTCCAACAGGCCCAGATATCATATGCTCTTGGGACCTCAAGAAGAGAGGAGTTTACCCAATTCATAGGTGTGTGAGGATAAAAACCTAGGGCTGGGCTCAGCTTTAAATGGTCTTATCTGAGATTCTTTGTGAAACAGATTTTCATGAAAGCCAATCTAGAGGGCCTACGTAGAAATAATTGTTTTTGCTGCACTTTATGCACATAATCAAGCCAATTATAAGACTAAAGTCTATATTGCAAGCAACACACTCCTATTATGATTTGTTTTTAACAGAAATGAGGACGAGACAGAGAGAAATTATGTTTCAAAACTTATCATCATTAGTTTCTAGACTTATTATTTCTTTTTAAGTTTTTACCTACATTTTAGACTGACCCTGCTTGTGCCTGTGAACCAACCAACAATCTCTGGCTGCAGCTCAGAAAGGACAAAAGAGAATGGGTAATGTAAAAACCTGGATCAGTATTTTAGTTCTGAACAATTATCCTGCAAATCCTGCCAGCTGATGGGAATAAATAGGATGCCCATGATCCGGAGGTTTACTTTTTGGGAAAGTAAAACCAAGGGAGCTAACCAAAGTAAAACCCCATACACCCAAATCTGAGCAAGCATAACTATAGCCACCAGTTATCTGGGTGTGTCACAAGACACTCTTTTCTTTCCTTTGTTGGAGGAGAACTCATTTCCACAGCTTCACTTTAGCATTATGGCTTATGTTAAGGAGTCTATGCAACTTCCATGCTGAGACACGTTTTTGGTCCCAAAGTTAATTCCAAGCTTTGTGTCAAAGGCCTAAGAAAACTGGATCTTAGGGATCCAGAAGCCAGACAATAATGAAAGTCAAAAGGCACAGCACAGGTGAGCATGACTAATTCCCGCTGATTAAGCCAAGCTTCCTGTTTCATGGATAAAGGTCATGCTAGTATCCATGGCATAAATGAGGTCTAGAGAACTAAAAGGCTACTGCCAGCAGGGGAGATAGGGAGGACATAAGACAGGGCAGCTATTCCCATCCCCTAGACCCCCTGTTAACATGGATGAAAGCCACTTTGACACCCATGGGTGGCACCCTGTCACAGTTGGTGGGACTCAGCAATACAGGGACAGAGGAAAGAAAGAGGAACAACTCACTTTCTCTCCCTCACACACCCTGAGTATTTGCTAGAAAAAGAAAGGAACCAGGCACACATGCTCCCCTATTTCTAGATGAGTAGCCATTCATCTTTAGTCTGCACCCTTTTAGAACATGTCCTGAACCCCTGGGACTCTTCTGAAAAAAATGCCTTCTTTTTTCCTTTTTCTTCCTCTGTCCTCTATTCACTGGTAGGTAGGTAATGGTGTCCCATACCACAGAACACTTCCCTCAGATGCATCCTTCTAACTGGGAGGAGTTAATTTCTCAAACCGTAGACTAATTGGCTTAGGATTAGGTTCAGGGGAAGGGAACACAGAAACATGACATGCCAGCAAAAGGGTAAAAGGTTTTTTTTCCCCGTTGGGCTTTTGGCCTCTCTCTCCCTGTGCAAACTGGTAAAAGGCGTCTGGATTTTCTAGTTGTCCTTACCCACTGCTTGTTTCGTTTTGATACATATTTTCTAATAACCTGTTTGTCTCTTCTCACTTTTAGGCCATCAAACTCCAGTCTGCACCTGGAGCCTTGGATGATGGCCTTTTTTACTGGGAACCCTGAAATAGGCCTCTGAGGGAAATCTGATTGCCATTTTCCCAAAACAGCTTCCCTGACAATAGGAAGCAATTAAGATTGGTCTTCATCCTTATCTTTATCCTTATTCTAATGGCAGTTAGAGGTACTTCTTTAGAGGGGGGAATGAGACAGCCAAATGCCTAGGCAGATAAAAAGGTGTACCTGGAAAATTTCCAACCCGTCACACAAGTGTTTACATCAGATGCTTTTGTGTAGATGAGGGAAACTTCCCAGGGCTTGTCTGGGTATGCCCACAGTGGACTGGAGCCCAAAATGCACACTGGAGGAAGTGGATGGAGCCACGTGGATGTCATGCCTTATGCAGGGGAGGAGCCTGCTCTCTTCAGCTCCTGTGGTAATGTGGGAATCGATCTGTGAGGTGAGGACCTGTTAGCAGGAACCCCTCTTGCTTTGCTGAAAGTTTTATTTTTCTTTTTGCCCTATAAAACCCTGTTCTACTAACCCTTCAATATGTCTGCATTCCTAAATTTTCCTGGTCATGTGACGAGAACCTAGGTTTTAGCTGAACTAAGGAGCAAAATTCTGCAACATAAAGTCAAAGAAAACTATGCCTATATCCATTAAATCAAATGTTAAAAAGCAAATATAAAGAAAAAGTCTTCACAGCCCTAGAGAAAAGTGAAACATTGTACATAAAGAAGTAATAATTTGAATGGATTGTCAGAAACCATGACTAGAAGACAGAGGAGCAATATTTTCAAATTTCATAGAGAAAGGAAAAAAAGAAAAGAAGAAAAAAAAGAAGACATAATAAAACACCTGTCATTTTAGTATTCTGTACCCATTGAACATAACCTTCAATAGAATGTGAAGTAGACATATTCAGGTGAATAAAAAATCAAGAGAATAATAGTTATGTTCTACATGAAATTATAAAGGAAATTTCTCAGACTAGGTGGAAATTATACTAGTGAGAAACAGATTTGAAGGACTAAAGGAAGAGATGATAGACTGACAAAGTCAATTTTTAAAAGCCAGATCTAACTTCTTATTGGCTACAAGGAATCCACTTTTAATATACAAAAATAGGTAATAATTAAATTGCTAGAAAATACATTTCAAATAAAGAATCAGCACATGTAGCTTGGAGAAGATATATTAACATAAAAAGGACTTCAATAAAAGGAGTATTATGAGAAGACATTTATGCAGCCAAAAAACACATGAAAAAATGCTCACCATCACTGGCCATCAGAGAAATGCAAATCAAAACCACAATGAGATACCATCTCACACCAGTTAGAATGGCAATCATTAAAAAGTCAGGAAACAACAGGTGCTGGAGAGGATGTGGAGAAATAGGAACACTTTTACACTGTTGGTGGGACTGTAAACTAGTTCAACCATTGTGGAAGTCAGTGTGGTGATTCCTCAGGGATCTAGAACTGGAAATACCATTTGACCCAGCCATCCCATTACTGGGTGTATACCCAAAGGACTATAAATCATGCTTCTATAAAGACACATGCACAGGTATGTTTATTGCGGCACTATTCACAATAGCAAAGACCTGGAACCAACCCAAATGTCCAACAATGATAGACTGGATTAAGAAAATGTGGCACATATACACCATGGAATACTATGCAGCCATAAAAAATGATGAGTTCATGTCCTTTGTAGGGACATGGATGAAATTGGAAATCATCATTCTCAGTAAACTATCACAAGGACAAAAAACCAAACACCACATATTCTCACTCATAGGTGGGAATTGAACAATGAGATCACATGGACACGGGAAAGGGAACATCACACTCTGGGGACTGTTGTGGGGTGGGGGGAGAGGGGAGGGATAGCATTAGGAGATATACCTAATGCTAAATGATGAGTTAATGAGTGCAGCACACCAGCATGGCACATGTATACATATGTAACTAACCTTTACGTTGTGCACATGTACCCTAAAACTTAAAGTATAATAATAATAAAATAAAATAAAATAAAAATTTATCAGAAAAACAATATCAATTATAATGTATATACCTAATAAGAGAGCTCAAAATATTTGAAACAAATCTGACAGAATTAAAAAGAAGAATGGATAAATTCACAATTATAGAAAAAGATTATACACCAGTTTCTTAATAATTGATACAACCACTGGAGAAATAATAAGAAAGCAAAAATAAAGACATAGATCCAAATAACACTTTGTACTAATCGATATTTCTAGAAAACGGCAGTCAACATTGTTTTCCCGTGTTCATGTATATTCACCATGGTAGACCCTTTACTGTATATAAACCTAATGTTGATAAGTTTAAAAAGATTAACAATTTATAGTGTATTATCCAGTTACAATGAAACCTAATTAAAAATTAGTGATTGTAATCTAGGAAAGCGAAGCTCTTTTAAATCATCCATTACTCAAAGAGGAAATCTCTAAAATGTAAATTCTGTGAAAAGGGAGTTTAGTTTTATACACTGTTTTGTTCCCAGCATCTAGACGAGTGACTGGCAATTAGTAAATGGTTAACAACTATTATTATAAGAAATGCCCCAGGGGACAGAGAAAGAAATGATAAGGAAATATGCAACGATTTTTCATGAGAAATAAATGATGAACAGGTTTTTCATGAAAGATGTAACAGAGGCCCAGCATGGGGCGGGATGGCAATACACATTGGTCTGTCTCCTAGGAAACACACAGATTAATGGCTAAAAACACATGCCTACAAAAGACAATACTTAGAGTTTACAATCAAGACTCTATTACGAACTCTATAAACTAGAGCAATATTCTAAAATTATTGATTCTTTAGTTTCCTAATAGAAAAAACTTAAGAAATAATGAAGCAAAGTTTTTTTGTTGTTGTTTTTTGGTCAAGCTTAATTGAAGTGATTTGTGTTAACGTGCTCAGTACAGTAAATGGTTCGAAACAAAGAAATCAATGAATAATACTATTATCACAATTATATGCCGTTAATGCCAGAAAGACTAAGCATCTGATTCCTAACATCAAGGTTTGTAAGAGTGTGTGAACTTTGTAACCTCACTTAATCTCTTAGATATATATTTCCTTTAAGGAAAACATGGGAGAAAAGAGCATTTGTGTGCTATGGAGCAATTTAGAACACATTTCTTGGGGGAAAATGGCTAATATAATATTAATATTAGTATTATTGTGATTAAATGGATTAGGAGGTTCTACAAAGAAAAGTAGGTTAATTTAGAGAATAAATGTAAACTACAAATACAATAACTCATTTTATCAAACTATTTTGGTGTTATGGATTTTTACACAGTGAACAAAACACACTTGATTTTCTTTAGGAAATGATATACTATTAAGAAATGAGTATATAGAGGCTTAGCTCTATTTTTGAAATGACTCTCTAAGGTCTTACAAATTGAAAAAGCAAAACTCAAGACAAAAAAAAAATTAATTTGCAAAAGTCAGTATTATCTACAGGAATTAACAAAGAAAAAGACTCAAATCTCTGAATATTTAATGTGTGGGTTTATGAGTTTTTTTTTTTTTTTGCTTTGTTTTGCTTTTTTGAGATGGAGTCTCACTCTGTCACCCAGGCTGGAGTGCAGTGGCGTGATCTTGGCTCACTGCAACCTCTGCCTCCCAGGTTCAAGTGATTCTCCTGCCTCAGCCTCCTGAGTAGCTGGGACTATAGGTGCCCACTACCATGCACGGCTAATTTTTGTACATTTAGTAGAGACGGTCTCACCATATTGGCCAGGCTGGTCTTGCACTACTGACCTTGTGGTCCACCCACCTTGGCCTCCCAAAGTGCTGGGATTACAGTTGTGAGCCACCGTGCCCGGCCAAGTTTAATATGTTGTTCGATTTGTTACTTTCCTTTGTCTCCGCTTCCCCTCTCTGAATTAAAATCAATGCCTTGATTTGTCAAACAAATATGTAGTGAGTACCCACTATGTATAAATCTTTGCATCATTTGCCACAAAAAAAGGCTGATATCAATTATATAAAGCATTAGAATGTACTAGAAACAATAAGGAAAAAAGTGACAGATAAATACAACAGAAATATATCTAATATTGCTTTAAAGTTATAATTTGTAATTTTAATTCAACCTGTAGCAGTCTGGTTAGTTTTAAGTATTTATTGAAATTCTATGGACTGTATTTGTAAACTGAGAATTAAAACAAATAGCCTGCAGATTTTCTGTATTGACTTATTAGAATGGTATATATAAATTGCCTGCCTGATATAAAGTAAGTCACTTCATATATAGTAGTTACTGTTACTATATTTGGGGAAAACCATGAAAGTTTCATGAAAAAAAGTGTCCTTTGAGCTTTTACAAACCAGCTTAGTAGGTAGAGTCTGAAAGTTAAATGTGTGTGTGTGCACGTGTGTGTGCCATGGCCCACTTGGACGATCTGTTCAGTTTTACAAACTACCCATCAAAATATGTGTTTAAATGCATAAATTACATAGAAATACATAGTATTACAATAAACATGAAATATATTGACAATTATTACAGTATTTTATAAATTGTAACATATATATGCTTCTCATAACACAATAAATAAGAAAGCATTTAAATCTAGGCAAGTTAAGTTTTATGTTTCAAGAAGGATTAGTGTAATGAATGTAATGGCTGAACATTAAACTCTAGGCTGGTTGTTAACTGCCTTTTACATATTGATCAGCAAATGATTGTGAATGGGCAATGATGGAAAGTAACTTCTTGTCTGGGTCAGAATTGGAGAACTCTGAATTTGAGTGTTTTGTGGCCTAATGACTATCGCCAGGCCCAATACAGCTCAATAGATGGCCAGTTTTATGGCATAGCCATCTGTAGAGAGGAAGATGGTAATCACTAATGTTTTGTTGATCAAAATAATTATGATTTTGCAATAAAGGTAACTATAAATGGCTTTTTGATGTATCTGCAAAAGATATATCCAATGAAAATAATCTGAAATTTCAAAGATGTGTTGTTTCCATGCCGGATCTCAAAATCCCTGAATTTCACACACAGATTCCATGAACTCCAAGTTAAGAACACATGATCTGGATGTTTGACAAAATACCTTCAGCAGGAATAATGAAAGCCCTGACATTTCTGTGTGCATAAAAACTGGAAAACTTTAAAAGTAATAAATCACCAAGTCTTTATAAAAATCGATGAGTTAGGTGTGTATTAGCTTATATCGCAGATGAGGAAACTGTAACATGGAATGGATAAATAATTTGCTAAAGTCACATAGATTGTGAGTAGGAAACTGGAAATTGAACAACAGCTGTATTGCTTCATGGTCAGTGGTTAATGCTTCAATAACTACACTAAAAGGCTTATTTAAAAGGCTTTTTCACAGATGCATTTATTCTCTTCTACATAATTAGTAATGAAATTTTAGTAATATCTGTAGCAAAAAGAACCAGGTTTAGATTGTTGTACAAAATGGCAAATGCATAGAGGGTCAGTTATACCATGAAAAGTTTTATGAATACTCAAACTCACCTACTAATGGCAACAGTGAGAGAATGTGGAGGTCATCCTGAAGAGAGATCATCACCCAGGCCTATCAAATCTAACCACTCCTATGTTACTTTCTCATTTTTAATTTAGCATTTTTCATATGCTGCCACGTATATGCCATTTTTCACTATATGATTTGGGAAGATTTTCTTTAAACAATAAAACAAAATTGTTGACCACACCCTCAACACTAGGTGATCATATATTTTAGGCTAAATCATTTATCCTTATATAAAAGGAATAATATTATCCCTGAAAATATAGAAGACTAATTGGTATATATATGTGTATACATATATATATATATGATTAAATCAATATGTATATTCAACCTGAGAATGACTTTTTGATATCACAATACCCTTGAGTATCAGGTTTTTGAAAGGATCTCAGACTTCTAGAAGTCCAGTCTGAAAATGTAATCTTTGGAAATACAGGTATCAAAAGGTTTTCAAAATATTTGAGTGTAAAACAGAATTATTTACTAATAAGTTATTAATATTTATATAAAGCATATAGCCGTTTGGGAATATTAAATATTTTTATGTTATCTTTTGTGGCACTATGAAAGATTGGAGTCTTTCATGTCTATCACATTGTCATTTTAAAAGACACTAAATAAATCTAAAAATAGTAATTATAATAATTAGTCATCAGAAGATCTAGGCTTTCAGATGTTAAAAGTTATGACTTAGTCACCTTCATGGAAGCATTTAATTGAGCAAGAAACTCAATGTGAAATTCATATGTCGCTACCAAAAACTGTCATAAATCAATGTGCTTCATTACATTACTGCCATAAATAAGTGGCTTAGGTGGAAAAAGAAATATGTTTTGTGATATTATTCAGTAACCGATTTTAACATTGGAATCTTTAAAAAAATCAAATCCAGCTGGTCATGTATATCTCATAGATTGCAGGTCTTTTCCATTGTAGACTGACTGCAATTTGGAAATGTGGATTTGTCAACCAGGAAATGTATGAGATATGAAGATGCTGTCTGAGATAGTTGGTCCTTCAGAAATCTAATAGAGCAACAGTCTAGATATACTGAGGAATAATAGCTATATGTTAATAAATTCCATAATTGTTCTCATAGGCTCAGTGTGATTCAGCATAGGAAACTCATAAAACATTGCTATGGCCTTTAGAAGCCTGAAATGCAAGTCTCCTTGAGCAACAGGCTACTGAAGAGATCTCAGACTCTTACAAGTCCCGTCCAATAGTGTAACACATTTATGTATATCCTATATCCAATAATGTAACTAAACTTAAACTACCCGATAACTAAAATTATTTGGTAAAGCTCCTATATTTCATCCACCTTAGATAAAATAATGCTGGTTAAATTTTCATTTTGAAGAATTGTTTGGTTATTGGCTAAATTTTAATGAGCCATGATCTTAGTTTAGTAAATTTTTAACATAAAATTATGCTAAACAAGATATGATATATAAACAAAAAGACTTTAATTTCTTAGGCTTCTTTTTATGGTGCACTTTGCCATTTAAAAATTAAATTTTTTATGCTATAAATTCAGTAAGGTCATACATACGTAAAACTTTCTATAATAGTCTCGATTTTGAGATGGCTTGAGGGTCAGATGTAAGGAGATTTTACATAGGTTAGACTGTGATTAGTAGACTGGATTTTTTTTTTTTTTTTTTTTTTTTTTTTTTTTTTGAGTTGGAGTTTTGCTCTTGTTGCCCAGACTGGAGTGCAATGGCATTATCTCAGCTCACTGCAACATCCGCCTCCCGTGTTCAAGCAATTCTCCTGCTTCAGTCTCCGAAGTAGCTGGGATTACAATAGACTGGATTTTATCAAGGAATGTATTTCTTCTAGAAAATAGATACACTTTCAAAGATACGTTAATTTACATGAGAGCTTGCCTGTGTGCACAATAGAAAGCCAAAAATAAAGAGGTTATCATCTAATGGCACAAAGTTTTCTTATTTCATAAGCTTGCATTTTCTTTTCTTATTAAACACCGTCTCACCTTTCTTTTTCAGGAAACACTTTCTGAAAATGTCAGAACTCTTGAAAACATGGATGAGGAAAAGCATAAGTACTGCTTTATGCTTTTCTTATGAATTTTAAAAGATGTAATTTAAAGGTACTTTAAAGTGATATTTGTGCCCTTGTAACTGATTCAAAGTAGACTGCTAAGGACAATAAGTAATAAGAGTCTACAAATATCAGTAAATTATGAGAAAAAACGGTCTAATGGTACTTAAAATTGCATTGTGATTTATTAAATAACATTGAACAGCTCCACCTGTAACATTAAGATTCCATTTGAGCATATAGAAAATATATTTATCGCAACCTGAAGTGATTTGGAAAGTATGCTGGGAAGAAAATATATTTACAAATTAGTCTCAGAGGGTAGGTATCCTGTAGCCAGATGGAATAAGAAGAGAGGGAAGGGAGATTTTGTTCAAAGGGGGAGCATAAGCTAAGGAATAAAGCCACAAACAATGATTAAATTAGGTAAAGTGCAATTAGCTGAATATTGCATAAGCATACATATGGGAAGAAGTGGAAAAAGGAGTGACAATATGAAGCTAAAGGGTTTGAAGTGTTCAAGATAATACTAGGCTTCCTAGCCTATTCCGAGACATCTTGTTTTAGAGTGCAATAGATAAGAACTCTAAGGATGAAAGTAGGAGACATGCATTCTAGTCTACGTTTTGGTTAATGGACTGAAAGTGAAAGATGGACTGAAATTGGGGGATGGAATAAAAATGTGATAGAATAGAAAATAGAAAAAGCAATTAGCCTAATGTCATTGATACTTAGAGAAAATATGGAAAATAGTAAATTAGTGATATATATCTTTTCTAATTCACCAGGGTGAGTGAACAAAGGAAATCGGATTTAAAAGTATTCATGACATAGATGCAATAAGGTTTCTCAGTCAGACATAGCAAATTGAGGGAAGGGAAGATTTAGAGGATTGGAAAATGTCTTGCTTGTAGACTAATAGGATATCAATAAGCCATATGAGCAATAATTTGAAATAGTTTTTGTAAAGTATCATGAAGGTAAACCCTGTTTAGAACAAATTAGATTTGAAGTACTTGTGACAAATGCAATTGACAATGCCTTTATGCAGCTGGAAAATTGTTGCTTAGCAGAAAAGCTTGTGCTGGACAAATAGATGTCCAAATTGAATAGATGTTTTCTTAAGCTGAACTAATTGAGACAAATATCCTTATTAAATCAAAAAATTAAAAATTGAAATAACTTACCTATGATAGGGTAAATAATGTTATTAATATACACAAGAAATATGTGATGTATATGTGTATGTACATATGTATACATAGTAATAATACATAGTGCTATTTTTAAATGATATTTTACATAGTGCTTTTTTAAATGATTTTTCAATCATCGTTGTTGGTCTGTGTTATTTTAATCATCAAAGCTGATTGATTTCTGTTTTTGTGTTTTTTTTTGTTTTTTTTGAGGTGGAGTCTCACTCTGTCACCCATGGTGGAGTACAGTAGTGCGGTCTTAGCTCACTACAAACTCCACTTCCCTGATTCAAGTAATTCTTGTGCCTCAGCCTCTCGAGTAGCTTGGATTGCAGGCATGCACCACCACGAGCTGCTAAATTTTTTGTATTTTTTGTAGAGGGGTTTTGCCATGTTGGCCAAGCTGGTCTCAAACTCCTGACCTCAAGTGATCCGCCCTGGCTTCCCAAGCCCAGCTGATTCCTGTTTAAATAAAAACTTACAAAGATCTTCCCACAAGTACTTTATCTTACAATTTACTGAACAATAGAGGCAGTGAAGATGTTTTTCAGAAAGCAATTGTGATCCTGACATTTTCTTCTTATAATCCTGTGCTTTCCTCATTTTTTTATATTAAAAGTAATAGTTCTTGTGATGGCAACTAGGATTTGTAACAACATGTACCCTCATTTCCTGCATGACCTTTTTTATGTCACTTCTTCACATGCAAAGTATACTCCCTCAGTGTCATTACATTATTTGATTTTTGCCCTTTCCCTCACCTTTCCATGTGTTTATTTGCCTATGCCCATCTCCTAGTCACATTTTATCTAGTTAACGCCAACTTGACTTTCAATGCTGTTCAAGATTTACCTCAATCTCAAGTGTTTTCTCTTTATATTCCATACACGCTTAGCTTGGCTGCCAATCCTCTTGGCTGCCAAAGAATCCCAAATTATCTCTTTCAAAAATACAAGAAATAAAGGATGGAGGATAGGAAGGAGGGTGGTCAGGAAAGAACAAAGAAAGGAGGGGAGAGGAAAAAAAGAGAGAAAGAAAGAGAATTAAAGTTAAGGAGGAAGAATTTCACACTGAATTAAAATTGATAATATTCAGGAATGATTTTATAGTAGGCATACATTGATAAATATTAGTTAAATTAATGAATTATTCCAAAAGATCATGATTTGTAAAAATTACCCTGAAGCACTTTAGGAATATTACATTGAAATAGGTATGCAATTTCTAAAGAAACTGGACTGCAAAAATAGCCATTGTGTGTACCTGTGGACCAGAATATTATATTTTGCTTAAGTTTGAAGTGTTAAAGTGCCCAACGTGCTCTTATTTTAACCTAGCAAATTTTCAGCAGAACTTAAGCTCATATAGTATTTGATTTTTTCATTTCTCACAACTGTTGGAATTCTGTTTTATTGAAAATTATACAATAAAATGTTAAAAAATCTTTGTTCCTGCAGTTATGCAATCTTATGCCAAAGTCAATAAATTATTAAATTAAAATCAAACCCACTAAGCCTAACAATTTGAGAAAATGATTATTAAAACATATACCATTTAGAAGGGCAATGCCTTTTTAATATTATAGTGAAGACAACCCTATCAATTATTTAATACACCAAGAATACAAGGATATAAAATCTTTTTCTCTCATATATCACATTATCTGATGTATTTAGCTGTGATGACATTCCAGAAAACATCACTTTTTAAAATTTCTAAGATTTTATTATGTTGCTAGCAAATCGATTTTTTTCAAGTACTGTAACAAAATCCCTAAATGGGCTTTATGAGAACTATTTTCAGTGTGATATTAATCATATTTTATTTATCATCCATACATAGATGGTAGCTTATCTGGTATTCCTAGTGTTTGAAGTGAAGAGTAACACACACACACATCCCAATACCAATTTAATTGATAAATATATAATCATTTGTTTTCAAATATTTATGTTGATACTTGCTTGTGTACTTACTTGTAATGTAGGTCTGTAAAAGGGACTGTTTTCTTTCTGTGAAACTGAAGCTTAAAGCAGTGCTTGTCACAAATTCAAAATCACCTTGCTTTGTCAACATTTTCAGATGTTTTTGGCTCAGTCTGATGACAGCATCAGTGCAGTAAAGGGATCTTATTGAAATGTTTTAACTAAAGATAAAATGCCACCACTAGGAGAAAAATAAAATCAAGGAAATAAACAGAAAATCAATAAATGTGAAATGTATTATAAATTTATATAATAACAATGTTGTATGCTATAAACATCTCACTTTGTAAAATTAACAAGAATTCAGTGAGGCAGATCATTTTCTATGTGTTCAGAAGTCAAGTCTTTGATGGCTAATTTTTATATTACTTCATTACAATATCTCTACTGAAGCAAAATAATTGCAAATCTTTTTGAATGAAATCAATTTATCTTTAATTTTAGATAATATTTGGTATAGTTGGCATAGTTTTGTCACAAAGCATAGCTAACATCAATGTAGCCTTACGACTTCAAATGTCTTTATAGATCTTTTCTGAAATTGCAAAATTTTACTTTGAAATTATTGTTAATATTTACGTTGCACAACCACAAATGTAGAAATAAAATTATAAAGTCTCCAGATAATGTTTTATTTTAACCACACATATGTTGTGATAGTTTCAAATAAATGAAAGCTCTACTGATTTATCATTTTCAACATCTTTACATTATTTAAGTAATATTAATTATATTTATGTAAAAATACCTGAATAGTCATAACGAAAATTTAATAATAATGTATAATATATTGTTAACATCTTTTATTTTCACAAAAACACCAAGGAAGAAGCAGTGAGTATTTTTTATTTATTTTAAAAATTAACTTTTCAATAAATTATTTAGGAATGACTGGAAATGTGCTGAGACAAAGAAGCAGTTGTCACTGTACACAAACATGAAATCAATTACCTTTTGGAGAGTTTATGATGTGTGAGAGCTAGTGAAGTTACATTGCAGAAGAGCATATAAGGAAATCCAGATCTGTATATATTGTAGTATAGTTTTAGTATAAATCTCTAAGATTACACTTTAGACTAAGCCACATAGTCAAACTGTTGTCTATTTATTCCTTTTGAAGATTGAAACTCCCACAACTTTGGCAGACCAACTCCTCAGAAAACATTATTCTTTGACATCAATATGTTTTGCACAAAATTGAATGGCAAGTGAAAGGCATCAAATGGTGAGAATCTAGAAAATAGTGCATGTACGGGAAGGCTTTGCTCAATACAAATCACTTGCATGGGACAGTCTTCTTTAGTGAGTTTATTATATACGGGAACAGAGAGGTAATATGAAATGGAATATGGAATATGGCACTAGCAAGCACAAATATTCAAATATGTGGAGGAACAACTGGATGTGATAAAACACTATAAAAAAAATAGAGAGAAAAATGACAGTAGGAAAAAGACTGTATATATTTTTTGAGAATAAAAGATAGTTTCATTTCATTGGTGGACATGAGATGAGTTGATGCAGCATGCAGGTGGATACCATTTTTTTCAAAGAAAATATGAACAGAGTCTCAAATAAATAACAAATGTTTATATGTGGGTTTCAAGGACAGAGAATAATAAAATAACCAAATATACATAATGTTCCAGTAAAATGATCCATCAGGGCTTACAGAAAGCGTAACTAGAGAGAGACATTAACTTGCAGATGATTTGTTTCTGGCTAATGTTGTGACAGGAGTGTAGCATTTCCTTTCTTCTCAGTTTCCTATCTCACTTACCTTTTGAAAAGACATGATTCCATATTATATTTATTCTGTTTCTCTCTTTCTTTATTCATTTACCCTACTTTACTGAAAAATCTCAAACATCATAGAAACATGCATGTCTTGGTTCTCCAAGTTTGAAAGGAAAATAATGTAGAAAGCTCTGTTTTTTTTGCCCTGGCATTTATATACTCTCCAATCTCACTACTCCCATATCACTCTTCTACCTCTCTTAGAGCAAAATTGCCTCTTAAAAAAGGACATTGCACCCAGCATGGTGGCTCATGCCTGTAATCCCACAACTTTGGGAAATTGCGCCAGTGCACTCCAGTCTGGGAGACAGAGCGAGACTCCATCTAAAAAAAAAAAAAAAAAAAAAGTACATTGCTGATTCCATTTCAGCATCACTCAATTACCATTCTCTAACTGTCTCTGATTTGTCTTTACCAAAAGCCACATCTGGCATAATTGGCAAAAGACTTTTTTTTTTTC
This sequence comes from Homo sapiens, assembly GCF_000001405.40. Taxonomy (NCBI): domain Eukaryota; kingdom Metazoa; phylum Chordata; class Mammalia; order Primates; family Hominidae; genus Homo; species Homo sapiens. Next base: position 27,490,419 of record NC_000005.10, read on the forward strand.
CCCACCATTCCAATGAACACAAAAATGACATTCTCAACATCAAATCAAATGATCACATTTTTATTCATATTTTACTCCAACTGAAATGAAGGATATAACTAATTTGTCCATTTTTCTTTAAGCACATATCTGTATTCATTTTGATAACCCAGCACTCTTGATTGTTCCCTTACTGAATGTTTGTCTCTTAGTATCCTTTGCCCATTCTACTCCTTTAAAAAAACTGTTGCAGTAACCAAAGAGTTATTTTTGATTCCACTTCTTTGTCAAACTAAAGTCAGCTCTTTGAGGCTTCTGGATTTTGATATTAAATATGTGTTTAGCAGTTCAAATTTTATATATGTATATTCTAGCTCAGATCCAGAAATCTATTTCCTTCTTATCATTCTCACTTGGATTCCTCAAGCAATTTAACATGCTCTAAATATTTCTTCCATGTTTATTTAGGTTTCAACTCTACATACAGAATAGACTAATTTAATAATTTTATACAATCCTTGGCCTTTTACTTTATATGATCTTCTACATCCAATAGAAGGTTGTTCAGTTAAACCTTAAAAACCTATCGCACACTTTTTAATTCTCTGAATTTTCATCAACACCACGGTAGAAACCTCCTCAATACAGAGTTTTGTAATAATTGCTCTTTAAATTCCCACCATGATATGTTACTATATATTCTGCTCAGAATGAAAAGGTTCACTATAAAACATGGTTTAAAAAAACAAACATTGATTTCTCTGCTTCAGGAGTTTCCTTTCCTATGGTAGATGAAACTAGGTACAATAATTTGTTGTTTGTTTTGGAGAGCTGTCAAGGCATGCTCCATGGCCTCTGAAACTAGGTAGATTGTATCACATACACTCCAGACCAACATACTTGCTACTTTCTGATTTGATTGGATTAACACGATGTCAACAATATAGTGGAACAATGTGATATTCTTGTCAGGTACAGTCTCTTTGGACTATGTCAGACAAATGGCATGAGAGTTAACATAGTCCTCGAGCTAATTCATAAATGTATATTGTTACCATTTTACATAAATGTAATCGTTGATGCCCTTATTTTCTCAGAGGGGTGGGGGAAAATTGCTATTCCCACATTAATGTCTGTATGTTAGTGAATCTGAGTGAGTGCCAATCTACTTGAGCAAATAAACATCTGGAATAGCAGCTGTAATTGGATCTATGATTTTCTTGAATTTGCATTCATTTACTTTTATTCTCCAGAGTGCTTTTGTAAGGGTCACACTGGTAAATCAAAAAGAGGATGTAATGAGGGAATATCACCTGTGTCATTTTTTCAAGAATATCCAATCTCATATTTTCCCCTGCCACACAATACTATATTACTTTTGACACAATATGTTGAGTAGGAAGCAGCACTTATTGATAATTCTACTTGCCCTTCTTCACTACTGCAGATCTCACCCTACTAACCAAGGAACAAATATGAACATTTTTTTCAGCTGACAGAATATAATGTTTATTCCAATTATACATTTGTGAAAAAGGGAAGTGAAAATAAGTCTTTTGAGCCAGTGGACCCATTGTAAGCCCAAACTATGCTAGGACATTATTTATTACTTGAAGTCTCATTAGCTGCATTCTTAAAGGTGGATCTCTTTGTATCAATCCTCAAAATATCAGGGTATTAAAACAATAAAAGTTAATACTTATTCTTTGTATATTTCTACTGCTGGTCCTCAAGGGGCTCTGCTCATTGTAATCAAATAGGCACCAAAGGTGCAGCAGTCCCCAGCATCTTTCCCTGTAGCCTTTGTGGTATTGGGTATCAGTGTTTGTCACGACGAAGGAGGACAACTTAGAGAATTGTGCCCCTGCTGTTAGACGGAGTCTGACAAAATCCAGACACATAACTGTTTTATGAGTAAATTGCCAATGCCAATCACATGATCTAAAATTAATATGGTGGGTACCAAAGGAGAGGCAGACTATGTGTGTTAGTGAGATCTGATAGTGTCTGCCACAACACTTAATAATTTTTGGAGAATTTTACCATGGGCTTGACATTTGAATATTCAATTTAAACTACTTATTTATGAAATAGTTATAGGAATAATTAGGAACTTTATGGCAACTCTATGTTTTAATTAACTTTCTAAGTGGTGAAAGAGTGAATTATTCATAAATTACTTCTGGAAACAGGACTCTTCTAAAAAGCATGTAAGGGAACTTGAAGCAGCATCTCAATTTGTGCAATATGATAAAGAAAAAAAACTGTGGGATCCAGAAAACAATACACAATTACTTTTATTTATGGCTACCAGAACTTCAGGAAACCGACTAATGTTTGTGCACATAATGTTTTTATTATGGATCTATCTGGGGCATATTGAACATACAGTGCCCTCAAAAATGGTCAGTTTTACTCATGCCCAATCCCATATATTTTTTAGGGTAATTTTTCTGGTCCAGTTAAGTTAGACCAGGACATTTTCACTTGACAAATCTGAGTAAACTTCTCTGGAAAAAATTGTTTTTGACCATTCGCCTAGAATGAATCTCTGGGTAAGGAAGATGCATATAGTCGTATAATTTACTGTAGTTATTTTGACACCTTTTCTTAACGACACACCACAGATTTATTGCTGGATATTTTTTTCCTTCCTAAGCCACTTGCCATATAGTTCTACTCTTCTCTAGCTCTAGGGAGGCTTCCTCATACAGACTAGGTCAACAGATTCCATTCCACTGGCTCGTGGATGGGTTTGGCTACCGAGAAGCAGTTAAGAGAAGATCAGAATTATAGGGAGCAGGGAGTAGGAAAAGGTGAAGAATTTATTTTCCTGCTTCCCTGCTGATCCCCTCCCAGGCTCCTACATGTTGGTCACATTTCTCTACCAAATGGTAGTTCCTGTGGGGTTCTTGTAAATTCACCTTCCTCTTTCCATAGAGACAAAAGCTCCCTGCTTTCATTCACCTTCGAGTACTGCAAACTTTTTTTTTTTTTTTTTTTTTCTGAGATGGAGTCTCACTCTGTCGCCCAGGCTGGAGTGCAGTGGCACGATCTCGACTCACTGCAAGCCCCGCCTCCCGGGTTCCCGCCATTCTCCTGCCTCAGCCTCCCGAGTAGCTGGGACTACAGGCGTCCGCCACCATGCCCGACTAATTTTTTGTATTTTTAGTAGAGACGGGGTTTCATCGTGTTAGCCAGAATGGTCTCGATCTCCTGACCTCGTGATTCGCCAGCCTCGGCCTCCCAAAGTGCTGGGATTACAGGCGTGAGCCACCACGCCCAGCCGGGTACTGCAAACATTTAAACATTTTAAACGTTCCTCGAAGACAATTTTTCCTTCCAGGACAATGACTGATACACCTTCTTAAGCTTACAACTGCAAATAAGTCTCTGCCTAACATAGCATCTCTGCTATACAGCCGGGAATGTACTCCTACTCAATGGGATGGCTACACAATGAAATCAATGAGTGACTGCACTTAAAAAATGCCCATTACAATATGAGCTATGTCTTCCTGAAGGTGGCCTTTTAATGTCAAATGAGATAAAGTATGTAAAAATGTTTTATAAATTTTAAAATGTGATAAATATTATTTTGTGTGGATGATAAATGTAGCTATGGGTTCTATTGACTGAAAGATAAGCACTGCTCCTTCATGAATCAAACCATTAATTCCTGATGGTGTTTAATTATTATCGAACATATTTTTCTTCACAGGAGCTGTCATTTAAATGTGCTTGCCAACTAGCTTGTTTATCAAAACATTCCAGACCCTTTCAAATTCTCATTTACATTGTTTCTTGTTTACCACACCCATAAATTTGTATTACCAGCATATTTAACTATCCGGCTATTTTGGAGATTGAAAAAAGAAGACCTGATTTATCATGTGCAATATCTCACACATCTGTCATTTCTATTCTACCGCAATTCGGTGAGTTCAGCCTCTTTTTACTTCATGTTTGAATAATCGCAATAGATTTTATACTGTTCTCACTGCTAAACTTGCTCCCCCTATTACCCTACAGACACTCATATTCATCTTGCATAATACCACCAGATTATTCTTTGTCCATCTATTTTCCTAGATATTTGTCCTCCACTTTCCTGTCTTTTTTTCTGCACTTCATTCTACCCATCTTAGTGAATAGACATCTTTTCAACTCTCTCAGGCTATATATACATCAATTTTTCAAAATCCAAGTAAAACTTCACGTCCTTGAGAGAATTTTAGAGAGCGTGTAATACCTACATTTTTTTTTACCATTTATTAGGAATATATCTCAGCCCCAGTTATGTGATTATTACATATTATAGTATATTAATGTTTGCAAACTCCTTGTAAAATCATACACACCCCATACTGCTATATTCATTTCAATAGCAAAACAGTTTCTTTTCAATTTTGTAATAAATATATTAAGATCCTGTCCTCCTCCAGGCCAATTTTCTTCCCCTATATTTAAAGTGCTCTGATGGAGGTAACTTATTAATAATTTGAGCCTAAAACAGCTTTTCAAATATGCATTTCATTTTTGCACACCAAGCTGGTGTGTGCCTGCAGGCGCTATTTCTATTAAGTGAACAGCTGGATATTGTGTAGTGGATTGACCAGGTGTTTGAGTGAACTCATTAGTCACCATATAGAAGCAACTTAAAAGAATGAGTCACAGTGATAGTCATCTCACTTTGGGAAAAGGAAAAGAAATAAATAAAAATGTTTCATATCTATCAGACAGCCACAAAGCACAGTCCCTATCAACAGGAGCAAATTCAAATAAAAATGGCCCCACCATACATATTTTATTTGATTTACATCTAGCACTGAAGATATACTTTATGAATTTTTCCTTTATTCTGACAGTCATAAAATAAACGGAGGTGAATCATATAACTTTTGAATATCTACATAGCCAGAGATAAACTCTGCATATTAAATATCTTCCAATATTACATCTACCAAAAAACATAGCAGAGGTCATATTTATGTTGCAACTGAGAAAACACTCAAATTATTTAAAGAGAAAATTTAAATACTTTACTAAAATTCACATTAAATTCTGAATTTTACATGGGTTTATGTGGCTCTACCATTCATACTGTTGAACTTCTGAGTTATTAATATTTACAAATAACCCATGTTCTTTCAAATGATTCCAATGCTTACAGAAACACATATAAAAGTACATACAATGAAATAAAACTGTGGCAATGTAGAAAAATGAAAACTATAATATGACAACGCAATGAAGCCAGAGTTAATGTGAGCACATGAAATGAAATCCTAACATTTTCTCTTCAGCTTTGTCTCTGTGTCTTACTATGCTAATGTAGGTAATAAGCAGTATTGATAGCTGGAAGAAGTAAATTAGCACATGAAAAGAACCTTGATTATTATTTGTGCAATTCCTGGAGTCCACTGATACTTACCAACTCTTAAAGCTTAGATCTAGGGTATCCAAACACTGCTTCCTTTCCAAGAAGGAAACATACAAAAAAACTAAGGCAGCATGCTCTAATTCTTTTTTTCTTTTTTTTCTTTTTTAGATGGAGTCTTGTTCTGTGGTCCAGGCTAGAGGGCAGTGGCATGATCTCGGCTCACTACAAGCTCTGCCTCCCGGGTTCACGCCATTCTCCTGCCTCAGCCTCCTGAGTAGCTGGGACTACAGGCGCCCGCCACCACGCCTGGCTAATTTTTTGTATATTTACTAGAGATGGCTAGTGTTAGCCAAGATGGTCTCGATCTCCTGACCTCGTGATCTGCCCACCTCAGCCTGCCAAAGTGCTGGGATTACTGGCGTGAGCCACCGTGCCTGGCCAGCATCCTCTAATTATTATTCATAGTTTGTGAATTTAGGCCTACGTGAATAATAATATAATATTTACTATGATGTTACTATCTACCAACCTTATTTTTCTTTTCTATAAAATAGGAGCCAAAATAATATTTATGTCATACCTTATGAAGTTAAAATAAAATATAACGAATGAGGGGCTTAACAATGAGTGTCATTTTGTAATTACTTTGTACCATTATTAATTGCTGAGACAGAATATGGTATCACTAGTCATCTGTATCTATTGCACAACTTTATTTTGATTCATTCCTTACTATTTTGCATAGATAGGCCTAAATTTTTGATCCACTGCTCAACTCCTGTCTTTAAACCATTGGTTCTCAAATAGAGTTGATTTTGACACCTAGGGAACATTTGACAACATATGGAGATATTGTTGATTTTACAGGGCAACCCTTCATAAGCACAGAATTATCTGGCCCCAAATGTCGACAGTGTCAAGTTCGAGAAACTCTGCACTAGGCTTTTCTGTCTGGTTACTCACCCCTCTTCTTTGCACTGCCCCCAGTTTTATGGATATTGAATTCCTGATTTCTCACTATATTAATTGCACTTATAGATATTCTAAATTGATTTGTATATATCTTCCTAGTTTGACCCATTGCTTTTAACTGAATTTTACTGGGCTTTTATAAAGGCCATTTCCATGGAGTTTAGTCATTATCTTCACCAAATTTTTATTTGCTTCAGTCTGGGGAGGAACTCTATATTAAAAAATAAAAACAAACCCAAAAACTAATTTATGAAAGACATTTTATAATGTAATTACTTAAACATTTTTTTTCTTCTTTCTCATACGATCTTTTAAATTCAGTGAGTGACATGTGGTTTTCAGGCTGGGTCAGGAAGTTTGCTTGGACGGGGAAATTCTGTCTGCTGAGACACTAGGGGAGCAAATGCCTATGTGGGCACAGGCTGGTCACTGACCTCCTAGGGTTCCCTGACAATAAATTAGTCCTAGTTGAGGTCGCCATCATCAGAACTTAATTGGTCCCTGGTACTGGTGAATCTCTGCACCACAGAGACTAATCAGTTACAGAACTCAGCTTCTGGGCATAGGCAACCTTTTCTGTTTTTTCAATTTTTTGTCAGCAAAGTTGAGAAAATGAACACACTCAAACAGCCCATTTCTTAGCTTATCAATATCCGTACCCACTTCTTTCCCTCATCAACATGTATTTTCCATATTTTGTTGGTATTAACCTCTGACACTCATCCACACAAGAAAGTCTACAAAGCCTAAACTAACTTTTAAACATTATTTAAGGTAATAGCTTTGTCTTCCACCAGAAACCTGGCGACATTTTTAAAAGGATTTGAAGAGATATATACCCGAGGGACAGAGAGAAAAATTAGTGCTGACCAGTCTGGGCCTACTTGACTAACACAAAATAGATTAAATTAATAAAAACAAGATGTTCTGCATTTATAAACATGTTAACTCTTTTTAATGTGTATGACTCATTAATGAGTTCATAATTAGATTTTGAAGGATTTCATTCTGGACCTTGCAGATTGTATGTATCTTTCTGGTAAATTAGGAAGTATAATTTTTCAATAAAAAAGCTCACTGGAAACCCCTGTAACAAGTAATAAATATTTAAAATTTGCAGAAATGTTTACTTATTCAATAAATACTGACTCCACATTAAGAAATGCTAGAGATAAAGCATTTCTAAAGGCAAATTCTACTGTTTCCTGGTTTTACATTCTAGATTTTAAGACAAAGATGGCTGCCTTGAAATTTTAGTTATGTGAAAGAAATTTCGTAATGATATAACTTTTTCTTACTCTGACTCTGTGAGACTTTTGTTTATATTTTATGAAACTATTTCTATAGCACATGTTATATAAATATATTTGAGAAATCATTTTTAGCTTTCAGAAATTAGTTTGCTTAATACATTTTAATTTTAATAAAGCTCCATTCCTCTAGTCCTTTCATATCTGGAATATATTTCCTATACAATATCTTCTATATTATTTAATACTGCTGTTTTTTAAAAGAGAAATTGAAACCTTTTACTCATATATACCAGACTTCCAAAACTGTCTTGGTTTGAAAATCAGTTCTCCAAAATACTTTCTCTAACTTAACTTTATATCTTAGGTGCAAATACAATCCTGATAAATACTATAGTCAGGCATTTTAAAAACTTTATGTTTCCCATATACTCAGCAGAGTATCATCTTCTTGCCCTTTCCCTCACTATGGTATCCTTCAAGAACTTATTAGCTCAAATTCCAAATCCTCAATGAAACAATCATCTATCAATTTCATAATTCACTGTTTTATTCAATAAATATTTAGTGAATGATTTCTGTGTGTCAGGAGTGTATTGGGAGCTTGGGGACAAAGTGGTGGGCTAGATAGGCATCTTTCTTCCTTCATAGAGTGTATATTTTAACCATAGTAGTCAAAATAATGACTTGGTAAAATCTAAATACTATGATAAAAGGAAAAATATTTCTGGATACAAATGGTCAAGAACTAAGGCACAGTTCATTGACTTTGTCCAGTTTGGGGGACCATCATTTATATAGAGTACTTTATTTTCTTAAATTAAGTATGAAAGACTGTTAAATTATTTGTTTTAATAAGGAATCCATCTAAATCATACTTTCATGCATGAAGGGAGAGAATGGTAAATGTAGTTTCTTCTCTGGCTTAACAAAAGGCTTCATAGGTATTATTAAAGTGTTCATAAAAATATAAAATATATTTTAAATGTTAACATGGCAACTATTTAGTTCGGAAAAAGAATAAAATAGATGGGAACACTTTCAAGGATTAAAGATTGTATTTTAGAGGACATAGTAACAATGTTTGTAGAGCATTGGCCTTAAAATACATGTTCATTAAACACTAACTTGAAGAGGATTATACATTTCCATATGTCTTCACATTTAAAAGGCAAATAAGATTGATGCTTTTGTTAATATTCTCAATTCACCACTTTATCAAAACTAGTTCCTTGACACAGAATGGTGTCTGCATTTCCATAGCCATAAGAGAGAATTAAACATTTTCTCCATTTTTAGCTTTCTCTTTCTGTCTTCTTTTCCCCTTTGGCTTTAGAAAGCCAAAGGCCTAGAGTTTTATTTGTTAGCTATGAAAGAAAACCCTGACCATAAGAGCTTAATACTAACAATACAAAACCAGAAAAGGGCAGAGAGGAATTTCTAACAAATGAGATATGAGGCATACCATGGTTTGCTTCTATGACTTAGACATATTTCCATATATTTTCCAAGGTCATTTTGTGCTATTATATTTTGGTCACACAGGCAAATGTTAACAAACATAAATTATGGGCATTAGAAATTATTTACTCACATGTTCATTTAGTTCAGCAATTTGGAAAATTCATTTTTATTTTGTGTAGAAATGAAATACAAGCTTTTACTTCTCTGACTTGCCTATTCCTGTTGATAAGCAGGGTTGTATAATGTTCATAATTACTGTTTGCCACTATGTTGGCTATTTCATAGTAGTTGTTCTGAAAGTCCACAAGGAAACAATATTTTACATAGTTACGTACCCTATAATATCATCTTATGTTATTAAGGTGAAAGTTATCATAGACAATAAAGTTTTTTGTAAATATTATAAAATTTATAGTGAATGTATGAAGTGCTCATTTTATATAATGCAATATGACCTGAATTTCTGATATAATGGTAGAAGACAAAAATGTTTAAATAAGCTAAATCTCCTCTGAATATATTTCTACATTTGAAATATTACTTTGCTCTTAATACAATAGCAAAATTCAAGTCCTGCTATTTTGTATCTCAGATTTCAAATGTACTTCCATCTTTTAACTATATTCTGCATTCATTAACGATTTAATTTTATCAGAGTATTTTTAATCATAAAAATTAAATAATATATGATATTTTCCTTAAAATGAGGTAATTAATAAATAGTTCAACTTAATACAATTGTAGAATTTGTATTTTCAAGTTGAGTAAAAAGCATAATCATGTCCCTATATATATGTGTGTATGTGTCTGTGTATGTGTGTACATATATATACACATACATATATGTGTACATATATACACATATACACACAGTATAAATATACACACATTCATGCATACATATACACCTGTGTGTGTGTGTATATGTATATATTTACTTATAAAACACATTCTCTTATTTCCAGGTAATTCTATAAATTATATATATGTATTACATTTTCACTACACCTGAAGAAAAAACAGTTTAATTTTTGTTTTGCTTTGTTTTGTTTTTGTTTCTTTCTTTTTTTTTTTTGAGATGGAGTCTCGCTCTGTCGCCCGGGCTGGAGTGCAGTGATGCGATCTCGGCTCACTGCAATCTCCGCCTCCCGGGTTCACGCCATCCTCCTGCCTCAGCCTCCCGATTAGCTGGGACTACAGGCGCCCGCCACCACGCCCGGCTATTTTTTTTTTTGTATTTTTAGTAGAGACGGGGTTTCACTGTGTTAGCCAGGATGGTCTCGATCTCCTGACCTCGTGATCCGCCAGCCTCAGCCTCCCAAAGTACTGGGATTACAGGGGTGAGCCACCGCGCCTGGCTTTTAATTTTTTTATATCACTGAATAAATGTCCATTAGAGTAAAAACTGATCTTAAAAGTTGACTCTTAAAAGTTTCTTTAGATAACTGGTTGATCATTTCATATAAGTTTTTATAGCAATATGTGTTTTAAAGATCATCAAAGCATTTTCATTAGTAAGGAGTTTTCTTTTGTTAGTTTTAAATCCAATGTTTTATATTATTAACAAAATACAAAGTTATTTTCATGATAATATTTGCCATGAGATAAAGAATAATTTGATATCCACAAAATTCTTTAGTTAATTGAGAATATATTGAGTACCTACACATCTTATCTATTTACATAAGGCTGCAAATATAAAAATAAACATTTAGCTTCCTCACAATATACTCAAAAGCAAAGGCTGTTGATTCCCTCCTCCATAATCAGCTCTGAAAGGATATGAAACATGATTTCCGAAACCACTGTCAAAGCTATTTGCCACCAATAACACCAACAAAACTCAGAAAACTTCTCAGGAAGACAGAAGATTGTCTTGAAATGTTATAGGTGTGGAGAAGGTGAGTAACTATAGGCAAAAGTAACATAAAATAAGAGGCAAGCTTTAAAAAAATTAAAATTTAATTGACAAATAAAGATTGAAGATGTTTGAGGTGTACAGCATCTGACATTTGCTTTTCCCCAGTGTTGCCTCTGGTAACCATTACCTCCTTTGGATATTCAATCTTCTATGACTTCCTTCTCTCAATTCTTGGATTTTGTGGATTAAAATCTAACAAAATTGCCAGCTTCTACTGATATGTCTCCCTTCAGGGATAAAGGTGAATCCCTGACCAGAGTAATTGCCTGTGGAGTTGCAACAAGAGGAACTTTGCTGGAACATTCCACGCTGAAGTGTATCACTCCCTTCAACTTAGTCACCAAAGTGCACACACTTGGTGGGCACACATCATGACTTGACATTAACACTAACCCAATACATATCAAGAGCTACTATTAATAGAATAATCAATAACCTCAGTGGACCATGAGTTAATTTAAGTAAATAGACACCCAAGGAGTAGCATGATAATTTAAAAAGACAAACAACCATTTTAGAACAAGATCAGATCTACTGAAAAAGAAAGAAACAAAAATGCCCAACTGTATTAGTCCATTTTCACACTGCTGTAAAAACTGCCTCAGATTTGGTAATTTATAAAGCAAAAAAGGTTTAATTTACTCACAGTTCCACATGGCTGGGAAGGCCTCAGGAAAGTTACAATCATAGCAGAAGGTGAAGGAGAAGCAAGGCACATCTTATGTGGTGGTAGGAGAGAGAGACAGCAAGAAGGGGAAGCTGCCAAATACGTTTAAACCATCAGGTCTCATGAGAACTCACTCACTGTTATGAGAACAGCATGGGGGAACCACCCTCATGATCCAATCACCTCCTACCGGGTCCGTCCCTTGACACAAGGGGATTACAATACAAGATGAGATTTAGGTGGAGACACAGAGCCAAACCATACCATTCTGCCACTGGCCCCTCCCAAATCTCGTGTCCTTCTCACATTTCAAAACACAATCATGCCTTCCCAATAGTCCCTCAAAGTCTTAACACATTCCAGCATTAATCCCAAGTCCAAGTCCAAAGTCTCCTCTGAGATAACGCACACTCCTTCCACATATGAGCTTGTAAAATCAAAAGCAAGTTATTTCCTTTCAAGATAAAATGTGGGTACATGCACTGGGTAAATGTTCCCATTCCAAATGGGAAAAATTGGCCAAAACAAAGGGGCTACATGCCCCATGGAAGTCTGAAACCGGGCAGGGTAGTCATTATATCTTAAAGTTCCAAAATAATCTCCTTTGACTCCATGTCTCACATCTAGGGAATGTTGATGCAAGAAGTGGGCTCCCAAGGTCTTGGGCGGTTCTGCTTCTGTGGCTTTGCAGGGTACAGCCCCCACAGCTGCCTTCATGGGCTGGTGTTGAATGCCTGAGGCTTTGCATGTTGCAAACTGTTGGTGGATTTACCATTCTGGAGCCTGAAGGATGATGACCCTCTTCTCACAACTCCACTAGACTGTATCTTAGTAGGGACTCTATGTGGGGGCTCCAACCCCACATTTCTCCTCTGCACTGCCCTAGCAGAGGGCCTTCATGAGGGCTTGGACCTTGCCAGCAGACTTCTCCCTGGTCATCCAGTGTTTCCATACATTCTCTGAAATCTAGGGGGAGGTTCCCAAACCTTAATTCTTGTCTTCGGTGCACCCACAGGCTCAACATCATGTAAAGCTGCCAATGCTAGGGGCTTGCATCCTCTGAAGCAACGGCCTGAGCTGTACCTTGGCCCCTTCTAGCCACAGCTGGAGCTGGAGTGGCTGGGATGCAAACACCAAGTCCCGAGTCTGCATGGAGCAGCAGCAGGGCCCTGGGCTTGGCCCATGAAATTATTTAGGCCTCCCGGACTATGATGGGAGGGGCTTTGGTAAACATCTTTGACATGCCCTGGAAACATTTTCCCCATTTTCTTAGCTATTAACATTCAGCTTCTCTTTACTTATGAACATTTCTGAAGTGGGCTTGAATTTCTCCCCAGAAAATGGGTTTTTCTTTTCTACCACATGGTCAGACTACAAATTTTCTGAACTTTTATGCTCTGCTTCCCTTTTAAACGTAAATTCCAGTTTCAGCTAACCTCTTTGTTCATGCATATGGGAGTAAACTTTTAGATAAAGCCTAGTCAACTTGAAGACTTTCCTGCCTGGAAATTTCTTCCACCAGATACCCTAAGTCACCTCTCTCGAGTTCAAAGTTCCATAGATCTCTAGGGTAGGGGCAAAATGCCACCAGTCTCTTTGCAAAAACATAGCAAGAGTGACCTTTATTCTATTTCCCAAGAAGTTCCTCATCTCCATCTGAGACCACCTCAGCCTGGACTTCATTGTCCATGTCACCATTAGGATGTTGGTCAAAATCATTCGATAAGTCTCTAGGAAGTTCCAAACTTTCCTACATCTTTCTATCTTCTTCTTCACTCTCCAAAGTGTTTCATCTGTGCCTGTTACCCAGTTCCAACGTTGGTTCCACATTTTGAAGTGTCTTTATAACAGTGTCCCATCCTCCACGGTACCAATTATTTGTATAGTCTGTTTTTGCACTGTGTAATAAATCTGCCTGAGTCTGGGTAATTTATAAACAATAAAAGGTTTACAGTTCCAAATGGTTGGCAGGCTTCAGGAAACTTACAATTATGGTGGAATGTGAAGAGGAAGCAAGGCTCGTCTTACATGGCAGCAGGAGAGACAGAGTGAGGGGGTAACTGCCAAATACTTTTAGACCATAAGATCTGGTGAGAACTCACTCACTATTATGGGAACAGCATGAGGAAAGTCAGCCTCCATTATCCAATCACCTCCCAACAGGACCCTCTCTCATGTGGGGATGGCATTTTGAGATGAGATTAGGGTGTGGACACAGAACCAAACCATATCACTATCAATATAAGAAAAAATACTAGGAAGAATAAAATGGAAATAGTGCATGTGAGAAACATAGTACAGTAAATGGGATAAGGAGCTGACTGGATCCATTTGAAAATACATTCATCAGTTAGTTAAAGGAACATATTGAGGTCCTCTCTTAAAAAGCAACAGAACATAAAAAAAGAAGAAAGTAGAAAATGAAACCTAAGTTTTACAAAGGCTGGAAGTTGAAATGCCAAAATCTGAATGCTAGAATTCCCACCAAGAGAGAAATGTATACACCGGATTTCAAAACTTAAATAAAGGTGAAAGACCTCTTTATATCAAAAGACTAAAGGAACACCTGACAGAGAAGATAAGGGAAATATCCGTAACTGTAAACACAATGAAACTGAAGACTAACAATAAAGATACTGAGAAATCTCTGGATGTTTCCAGACACTAAAAGCAGATCATCTCCTGATAGACATCAGATTTCCCAATGGAAAAAAAAAATTGAGAAATAATTTCTTTCTTAAAGGAAGTTGCCTTTGAACCCACAAGTTTATATCCAAACAAATTTTATTTCAGATGCGATTGTTACAAATATTCATGAAAAAGGGAAAGTACATCCTCCAAAACCTAGAGTTTACATTTTGTATATAGCAATATGATAAGGGTGGAGAAGTCCACAAAGACATGGGAACCTCTTAAAATACTTTCGGTGTGATGGGGAAGATATAAATATTAATTAAGTCTAAGATTAATGTGATTATGTAAGTATGAGAATGTGTCATAAATTAAAGGAAACATCATGAGAACAAAAATACAATAATTTACTTTATGGATCGAATATTAACAGACTCCTGTTGTCTGGGTGAAGTGGCTGATGCTTGCAATTCCACCACTTTGGGAGGCCTAAGTGGGCAAATCACTTTAGCCCAGGAGTTCTGGACCAGCTTAAGAAACATGGGAAAATAACATCTCCACAAAAAAAAAAAAAAAAACTTTAGCTAGGCATGGTGGTGCATGCCTGTAGTCCCAGCTGAGGCTGAGGTGAAAGGATCACTTGAGCCCGGGAGGTGGAGGCTGCAGTGAGCTGTGGCTGGGCCACTGTACTCCAGCCTGGGTGACTGAATGAGACCCTATCTCAAAAAAAAAAAAAAAAAAAAAAAAGACTAGTGTTGAGCACGTTTGGAATTAAAAGTTAGATACAACCAGCTTGCATTTGTGGAAAAAATTTGAACACTTTGTAACATTAAGCACTCTACCATTCTACTTCATTCAATCTTATTTTTTCATGATTTTCAATACTATGAATCTATGCATCCATCCATCTGTTAGTTTCTATGACAGCTCTCTTCTCAACACTAACATTGCTATAATATTTACATTTACTAGTACAAACGCATTTTTCTGTATATTTTACTTCTTCATTTTTGCAAGGAAAAACGAGTGCAAATAATTTAAAAGTAATTTTTGGTGTTATTTCTCCAAGGACCATTATTTCATTTACTGTATGAAAATAACATTCCATGTTGAAATAAATTTGGGACTTGCTGACATAAACAACTTCCTAACCTCAAGGCATCACAGAGTGTTTATTCTATACATGGTTTTATGAATTTTCAAATAAGAATATGTTGCCAAAGTTTTCCAATCTTATCAGAACATGTCCTAAAATATCATTCTACAAACTCAGAATAATAAATGCAGGCAAATTATAACATCTTAAATCCAAATATTGGAAAAGGCTCATCTAACTTTGTTTAGGAGTTGGCCTTAAAGACACCCTACAAATATTAATTATCTGCTCTTCCATTAACTAACCATGTGAACTTTGGCCGGTGAGTTAGTTTCTCTGTGCCTTAGTTTTCTTTTTATGATATGGGTAACTACAAGAATTCTTATCTAACATATGGAAGCCACATAAGTTTTAATAATTTTAATTTAGCTTGGATAACTTTGCCTATAAACTGCATTATGCTAAAAGAAAATCACTTTTCATTTGCTGCTTTGTGTCACCTTATAATCTCATCTAGAATTTTTGTTCCAGCTTATCATTTCAATTTTTCATAGTTCAATTTTTTAACCTTAAATATTATATTTGGAAGGCCGAGGCAGGAGGATTGCCTGAGCTCAGGAGTTCGCCAGCAGCCTGGGCAACATGGTGAAACCCCGTCTCTACTAAAATTCAAAAAATTAGCCAAGCCTGGTGGCGGGCGCCTGTAGTCCCAGCTACTCTGGAGGCTGAGGAAGGAGAATCGCTTGAACCTGGGAGGCAGAGCTTGCAGTGAGCTGAGATAGTGCCACTGCACTCCAGCCTGGGCGACAGAGTGAGACTCTGTCTTGAAAAAAAAAATTATATTTGGATGTATAATATTTCTTTTACCTAAAATTTATATGCATCTCATATTTATCACTGTTACATTCTATGTTAAAAATATTAATTTATCAAATTTGCCTGTCAAGTTACAATAGAAATATGCATATTGTATGTATTAGTCACAAGAAGAAAAGTAATTGTATGTCTCATATTCTTAAAAACAGTAATTGTGTGTCTCATATTCATGCAGTAATTGTATGTCTCATTTTATTTTATGAATAAAAGTAGTTGGTAGGGAAATTGTGGTGAAATCCATATAGCAGCCCATACATTTCAATTCTCAGTGTTATTTAAATAAAAATTTCAATTAGAATATAGAAATATTATGATTATATAAATATATAATGATCAGAATAGTTTAAAAGTATTTCAGTATAACATTCTTGGAGTGAACATAAATATGGGAGTTCTTGAAAATATTCTTTGATTAATATTTTATTTTTGTTAAAATTTCCAATGTTAGATCATTATACAAATTTTCACAATGATAGAATAAATGTATAAATAGCACAATATGATATTCAAGTCAGTAGAGCATATTTGGATTTAAATAATCACATTTAGTAGTTTTTGTTGTAATTTTGATCATACTTCTGCAAATATATGAAATTCCTTAATAATTTATTTTCTAAAATTGCATCCATAATCATCTGTAATGCTGAAAATTAGAATCCCTTAATTGTTAGGAAGAATTACTTCCCTTTTTATTGATTTCTTATTGTAAAAAAGGAAAGTTCCAACATAGCTGTTAAGGTAGCATGGATTAACGAGTTGATACCATTCCATTTCTACAATCAACTGCTTCATCAAAATTTCTAGGATTTAATCCAACAGTAATATCTTGAATGTGTATTCTCCTGAAGGTGAAAATTATACAGCAAGAAACTAAATTAGGCAAGATAAATCTTCACGACACTTAAAGTACCAAACAATTAAAAAGCAGAAAATAACTTTTTCTAAATACTTCAATTTGCAAACTATATTTGTTTGACTTTTAAAAGAACAAATGAGGGCACAAATATTTTATTCTTAAAATAGTTATCCATGCGAGATCTTTTCATCTCTATAGCTGATGTGACAGAAAGGAGTAAGATGAGAAACATGAGAAAGTTAGGTGGAAAAAAAATGAAATTTTTGTTCAGTGTTAGTACTCTGGAACATGACAGGTTTAGTTCATGGACTTAGTTTGTAGGTCCAGGTACTCATGCATGCACATACACAAATATTAAACTATGATAATAGTTGTAAGGCAGTAACAACACGAATAAGAAATATCATTAATTTGTGTTCAATTATTAAAACCTAGCAAAAATATCTCTTTTCTTTCTCCTTTTTTTTTTTTTTTTTTTTTTTTGAGATGGAGTCTCGCTCTGTCTCCAGGTTGGAGTGCAGTGGCACAATCTCGGCTCACTGCAACCTCTGCCTCCCAGGTTCAAGGGATTTTCCTGCCTCCGCCCCTCGAGTAGCTGGGATTACAGGCGTGCACCACCACACCCAGCTACTTTTTGTATTTTTAGTAGAGACAGGGTTTCGCCATGTTGGCCAGGATGGTCTCAATCTCTTGACCTTGTGATCCCCCAACCTCGGCCTCCCAAAGTGCTGAGATTACAGGCGTGAGCCACTGCGCAATATCTTATACAGTAAATTTACGTGTCATATATAAAGACCAGAGAAAAACCCTGAATAATACTTACAAATTGTTACAGGAAGGAAAAACAAGCCAAATTAACCAGCCAACAAGCAGTCCTCTTATTTTTGCCTGAAGTCCTTAAAGCAAGTGATATTAGAAATATATGATGATATCACTAAGAATATTTTTGTATGTTAATATTAAATATGTTTTGTATAGATTCATAGCTGGAAAAAAATTCCACCTTTCTGTTTCTAAAATATAAGTTACCATAAGTTTTAGAAATTCTGATTTAAATAATTCATTTTTTAAAAAAATCTTGTATTTAAAAACTATCTCATAATTTAATTTTTAATTTTCACTTTAAATGTGTGCCATTAGAATAAGCCCCCTATTCATGGTTGTATTTTTATAAATTTGCAGTCAATTTTTTTTTTTTTTTTCGAGACAGGGTCTTGCTCTGTCTCCCTGGCTGGAGTGAGTGGCACGATCTTGGCTCACTGAAACCTCCACCTCCAGGGTTCAAGTAATTATTCTGCCTCAGCCTCCCAAGTAGCTGGGATTAGAGGAGTGCCACGCCCAGCTAATTTTTGTGTTTTTTTTGGTAGAGACGGGGTTTTACCATGTTGGCCAGGCTGGAGTTGAACTCCTGACCTCACTTGATCCGCCTGCATTGGCCTCCCAAAATGTTGGGATTACAGGCATGAGCCACCACATGTGGCGGCAATCAAAGTCTTTCTAATGAGAAACTGCCTATCATGGCAGCCTCTTCTCCCCTAATTAAGGACCATTATTGTGGCTTGACCACAGAAAAGCATTCTAGCGATCCCCACTTACTCTAAGAAATGAACAGCTACAGTAAACACTCTGCAGTAATACTGAGCGATCCTTTCTCTTTTGAAATGCCCCACAACTGCTTGCTTGCCCCTTTACAGCTAATTAAGGATTGCCAAATATATCTGAAGACCACTTTGAAAGTGCCTTTTGCTTCCCAACACTATGAGAGCACTTATCAATAAGAGACTGTCTAGGTATTTCCTCTCCTTACTCTATAAAATTGACTCTCATTTCTAACACCGTTAAAATCCACTGAAACAAAAGTGATGCAGATGTGTTCTCTTGCTGCAATTTTATGAATAAATATCCTTTCTTAATTTTGTCTCAGACTTAGTTTTCTCTATGGGACTGTAGAAGCTTATGAAATACATCACAAGTCAATTGGATTGTAGAAGTAAAAATGTTGGGAATATTTTTGTAGAAAACGAGAGACATAGCTAGAATTTATGAACTGAAATATATTTTTAAGTAATAGTGATATACATGCATTTATAGATAAAGAACTGATTATCCCATGCAATAAAACTAGAGGAAATAAGAGCTGAGATTAAAATCCAGAATTTCTGATTTTCCTTTCCAGGCCAATGAGTTTGTAAGTAAGACATAAACTTGCTTTAAAAGAAGTTAAATGGTGAAAAGACAAATCACCACATGAGAGTCTATGTATTTGAATGCTCAATGCTAATTCCAATATGTGCTATCTGGGTGGAATTATATAAATTACTTATACTTTCTGTGCATTGCTTTTTCTCATCTCTTAAACTAGGGCCAAATAGTTTTCTTTCTTTACAAAACTGTGGCATATAATATCAGATGTTACTACAGCAAAGGATGTATAATTGAGCTGGAATAGAAGATATAATAAATATTAGAGATGCTTCTTCTGTTGATAATGGTAATAATAGTGATGTTAACAATTATATCATTATTAATAAAAGAGTGGCAGATTGTTGTTGCAATGACAAGGATAATCCTGGAGAATATTTAACCAAATAAAATAAGCCAGGTAAAAAAAGACAATATTGCATAACCTCACTTATATGTGGAGTTCAAAAAGTGAAACTCAAACAAGCAAAGAGTAGAATGGGGCTGCCAGGGGCTGGAGATGAAGGAAATGGGGAAATGTTGGTCAAAGGATACTAGTTTTAGTCGTGCAAGATAAATGAGCCATGGAGATCTAATGTATAGCAAAATGACTACAGTGAAACTTTTTTTTTTTTTTTCCTTTTGAAGAGACAGGGCAATGTTGCCCAGGCTGGTCTGAAACTTCTTGGCTCAAGGAATCCTCCCGCCCTGGCCTCCCAGATTGCTGGGATTATAGGCATGAACCACCACATCCAGCCATGACTGTAGTTCATAGTTTTGTATTGTACACTTGAAATTGCTGAGAGAGTAGATTTCTAATTATCCCACCACACACAAAACAATGTTAGCTATGAAACGTGATGGATATGTTAATTAGCTTGATTATGATAATCATTTCACAATGTGTACATATATAAAAACATCATTTTGTACATTTTAAATATATCCAATTTGGTTCACCAATTTTATCTCAATAAAGCTGGATGGCTTTTTAGATTAAAAAATAAAAGAGTATCATATTATTCACTTATGGCACTGCATTATCATTCGATAAAATAAAATTAGATTCTATATAGGTTGAAATGCTTTTAAGTTTAAAGCTTACATAGACACTTAAAATTTATACATTTACTTAACTTCATTAATGGCCAAATCTTGTATATGTTTGGGCCTTTATATATCATGGTATTATAATCGCAAAAATTATTTTATAATTCCTCTATTTCTTTTTTCCAAGAAAAGTGTAAAAAATTACTTTATCTTTTATTTGATCAAACATATTGACTTCTTAATATATACTTTTGTAAAGTGTGCAATTAAATGTTAACTTTTCAAAAAATCTTGACATTCACATTTTCTTATCTTCTCTCATCTTGAAATGCTCCCAATCTAAGTAATGATCTCATCCTTTTTACAGAGTTTATGGCTGACTATAATTCCTTAAGGGTAAAAAAAAGGTTAATATTTTTTATAACCCATATGAAGTATGTTACTTTCACTTTACCATTAAGATAAGAAATACCTCTTTAAGTCAAGAAAGATAATAAATTTTTACTAACCTCCACAGGGTATCACGTAAGATCAACAAAGAACACTATGTTTCATTTTACACTGGGGACCCTTGAAAGGTGCATAGTTAAATGTCATTCTTTTACAAGTAAATCATTCACGGTTTGGTAAGACATCTTAGAGCTTCTTAAACGTGATTCACTGCCAAGACCTCTACAGTTGTTAAGAAGTAAAAGCAAATGCATAATGTACATTTCAAGGGTACATTCATAAACTGCAAATTTGCAAAAAGAGTCTTCAGATATTTAAATATATCTTAAAAGTTTTAATTGTGTGTAACTTCACCTCTCCAAGAAATACATCAATAATTATAAGCCTAGTAATTCTGGATCACCATACATACCAAATGCTCTAAGTTCATACAGTTTATAAAGGAATGTTTTCAACTTTAAATTCATGTAAAATGCATTATTGTTTAATATATTTAATAAGAGTTTTATTAAGATACAACTTACATAACAGGTTTACTCCTTTAAGGTATATCATTCAGTGTTTACTTAAAAATTATATTCACACAATTATACAAGCATTATCGCTATCTAATTTCAGAACTCACTTCCAAAAGAAAGTTGCATCCAGAAGCAGACTACAAAATTACAAAACCAAAATTGACTGAAAAAGAAATACAAAATCTGGCTGAGTGCGGTGGCTCATGCCTGTAATCCCAGCACTTTGGGAGGCCGAGGTGGGTGGATCACAAGTTCAAGAGATTGAGACCATCCTGGTCAACATGGTGAAACCCCATCTCTACTAAAAATACAAAAAGTAGCCAGACGTGGTGGCGTGCACCTGTAGTCCCAGCTACTCAGGAGGCTGAGGCAGGAGAATCACTTGAACCTGGGAGGCTGAGGTTGCAGTGAGCCGAGATTGCGCCGCTGCACTCCAGGCTGGCAGCAGAGAGA
Source organism: Homo sapiens (assembly GCF_000001405.40). NCBI lineage: Eukaryota > Metazoa > Chordata > Mammalia > Primates > Hominidae > Homo > Homo sapiens. Next base: position 27,512,166 of record NC_000005.10, read on the forward strand.
TACTCTGTCTCAAAAAAAAAAAAAAAAAAAAAAAAAAAGAAACAAAAAATCTGAATAAATGTACAGTTAAAATATTTATTTATCAATTTAAAAACTTCCCATAAAGAAAAGTCCATGTCTAGATGGCTTCATTTACGAATTCTCTCAAATGTTTAAGGAAGAGTTAACACCGACCCTTCAAAAATTCTCCTAGAAAATATAAGAGAAGGGAATACTGAACTAATTCCATGAAGCCACTGTTACCCTGTGATTCAAACAAAATAAAGCCATTGCAAGAAAACTACAAACCAATATAACTTATGACTACAGACCAAAATTCTCAACAAATACTAGCAAACCAAATCCAGCAGCATACAGAAAGGATTATACACTATAACCATGTGAGCTTATCCCAGGAATGTTAAATTGTTTTTTAAACAGGAAAATTGGTAAATGTAATATACCATATAAATACAATAAAGGATAAAATTACATGGGTATCTCAATAGATGTGAAAGCATTTGACAAAGTCCAGCATCTACACATAATTAAAACTCATCAAACTAGAAAGAGAAAGGATTTTCCTCAATCTGATAAAGGCCATCTACTAAAAACCCACTGCTAACATGATATTTAATCGTAAAAAATTAAATGATTTTCACTAGAATTGTGATATTTGCTCTCATCATCTCTCTCCCATCTTGCATTGGAGGTTCTAGCATGGGCAATTGAGTAAGAAAATGAAATAAATCAAAACATACATTGTGGAAATGAAGAAGTAAAATGATATCTAATTACAGATAACATAAACCTGTACAGGCATACTTCATTTTATTGCACTTTGTAGATATTGCATTTTTTACATATTGAAAGTTTGTAGCAACCTTGCATTGAACAAGTATATTAATGCTATTTTTTCAACAACATGTGCTGACTTCACATCTCTGTTTCAGACTTTGGTAATTCTCATAAGACTTCAAACATTTAAAATTATTAATCTGTCTGTCATTATGATATGTGATCAGTGATCTTTAATGTTTCTATTGTAATTGTTTTGGGGTACCACAAACTGTACCCATATAAGAGGGAGAACTTAATTGACACATGTTGTGTGTGTTGACTCCTGCATATCGGTCATCCCCCCATCTCTCTTCCTCTCCTCAGGCCTCTTTATTTCTTGAGATAAAAAATGTTGAAAGTTGGCCAATGATGAAAAATATAATTGCCTCTAATGTTCAAGTGAAAGGAAGAGTAGTACATCTGCCACTTAAAATCTAAAGTTTTTGTAGAAATTCATAAACTGGGCTTAGTTTCATGTAAAAAAGCAAGGAACCCCCAAAAGCCAAACCACTTGTGAAAAAGAATAACATAAGAGAACTTACATTTCATGATTTCAAAACTTAATACAAAGCTACACTATTTGAGTGAGTGTTGTACTGACATAAGAAAAAGAAATAAAATCAGTGAAATGAAATTGAGGGTCCAGAAATTAACCCTTATGCTTATAGCTTGATTTTCAGCAAGAGAGACATGACAATTTAATGTAGGAAGAATTGCCTTCAAAAAAACTGATGCTGAATAAAACAGATATCTATATGCAAAATAATGGTGTTGGACCCTTACCTCAGACCACATACAAAAATTAACTAAAAATGCATAACTGATCTACAGGTAAGAGCTTAAATAATTACATTTCTAAAACAAAACATAGGAGTGGATTTCTGTGACCTTGTTTTAAACAAGTTCTTTTATCCTATCTAGAAATATACTCTTCAGGTCTACTGTTCAGTGTACAAAATGTTTTACTTGCTATAATTTTGTGGCTAATTTGCAATAGAGAAAATACTTAACCTGAAAGATAAATAAGAATATAGATACTAACTTTTGGCTTTTAAACAAATGGTATTTCCTAGGTGCCCAGAAAAACACTTGTTATTATTAACAATGTGAAAATAAGACTTACTAAGCAAAATTGCCTACATATAAAATACATACATATATATGTACATATATCTGGGGAGTGTATTAAGTATTAACTTACATGATCACAAGGTCCCACAATAGGCCATCTGCAAGCTTGAGGAGCAAGGAGAGCCAGTCCGAGTCTCAAAACTGAAGAACTTGGAGTCTGATGTTTGAGGGCAGGAAGCATTCAGCACAAGAGAAACATGTAGGCTGGGAAGTTAGGCCAGTCTTGCCTTTTCCCATTTTTCTGCTTGCTTTATATTCACTATCAGCTGATTAGATTGTGCCCACCAGATCAAGGGTGGGTCTGCCTTCCCCAGCCCACTGACCCTAATGTTAATCTCCTTTGGGAACACCCTCACAGACACACCCAGGATCAATACTTAGCATCCTTCAATCCAATCACGTTGACACTCAGTATTAATCATCACAAGTCCACCACTTGTCAACTTGAACCCAAACGTATCTGCTGAGACTGTAGATAATCTTCAAATAAAGACAATAATAAGGTCATAATTATGCCTAATATAATACAACTGTCATTTGTACAACCAGAAACGCACCAATCCCCAATCCAAACACTATTACATAAAATTAACAATACTAAATGCTAATATGAAGTCAATAAAACTTATGTCACATGATCAAATAAAAGGAAATAAAATGAAGATATTTTCTTAATACGATTGTATACTTTCACAAGCATATTTTTAGCAAAAGAAGGATGAAATACCCATATCTTTCTCGTTTCTGCAGCTGATCACATGGTTGTAGCTGGTATTGATGACTACCTTCTTCTACTACCCATTCTGTATTCCCTTTGACTTTAGCAAGCACCTCAGCAAGTCGTGGCTTTCTTCCTGGTGGAGTGACCCAAGCCTTCATGCCCAAGGAGTCTGGACCATTTGTAGTCCTGCCTGGATTGGGCTATTGTAGTTTCCCATTGATCTTAATCACAGGGCATGGTAATACTAAGAGACACCCTAATGGAGCTCCTGTATTCCATGCACACTCTTTTACCTCCGTTATGGAGTAGTAAATTGATTTCTTCTTGATCATCCAGGTCAATCACCCCAGCCAACATTTTAACTCCCTTCTTAGCCTGTTGACTTAAAGGTAGGAGGAGCCTAAACTCTCCGGGTGGCAGTCTGAGCTTCCAGTTTAATGGAATCATTGTTGTGTCTCCTGTGTCAGCATTCTTCCCTCTGGAACAAAGACCTCTAGGCCAGCAGAACATAATGTCATGGGAACAGGAAGCAATAATTTTGCTAGTGGATCACTTGGAGTGATGGTGAATGGTACCACTTCCACTTCCACCTGTTGATTCCTGGACCCGTTTATCTTGGATATGAGAGAAAGAGTACCATATATTGGATGCTGATTCAGAGCATGCATGGCCTCCTGGAGAACTTTGCCCCAGCCCTATAAAGTATTGTTACCTAGTTGGCATTGTAACTGTTACTTCAAAAGGCCATTCCACTGTTCTATTAATCCAGCTGCTTCAGGATGATGGGCAATATGGTAAGACCAGTGAATTCCATGAGCATGAGCCCACTGCCACACTGCTTTAGCCATAAAGTGAGTGCCTTGGTCAGAGGCAATGCTGTATGGAATACCATGATGTTGGATAAGGCATTCCATGAGTCCATGGATGGTAGTCTTGGCAGAAGCATTGCGTGCAGGATAGGCAAACCCACATCCAGAATCAGTGTTTATTCCAGTGAGGAAAAATATTGCCCTTTGTATGATGGAAGAGGTCCAATATAATCAACCTGCCAACAGGCAGCTGGCTGATCACCCCGAGGAATGGTGCCATATGTAGGCCTCCGTGTTGGTCTCTGCTGCTGGCAAATTGGGCACTCAGCAGAGGCCATAGCCAGGTGAGCCTTGGTGAGTAGAAGTCCACGTTGCTGAGCCCATAGGTAACCTCCATCCCTGTCACCATGGTCACTTTATTCATGGGCCCATGGGTTACGACACGGGTGGCAGGGGAAAGAGGCTGAGTGGTGTCCACAGAACAGGTCATCCTATCCACTTGATTATTAAAATCCTCCACTGCTGAGGTCACCCATTGGCAAGCACTCACATGGGATAGAAATATCTTTACAGTTTTTGACCACTCAGAGAGGTACATTCACATACCTCTTCCCCAAATTTCTTTGTCACCAATTTTCCTATCATGCTTTATTCAGATCCTTGACAATCCAGCCAAACCATTGGTTACAGCCCATGAATCAACATATAATCACACATCTGGCCATTTCTCCTTCCACGGAGAGTGCACAACCAGGTGCACTGCTCGAAGTTCTGCCCACTGGGAAGATTTGCCTTCACCACTGTGCTTTAGGGATGTCCTAGAAAGGGATTGCAGTGCTGCAGTTGTCCACTTTCTGGTGGTACCTGTGTATCATGAGCACCCATCTGTGAACCAGGCCCTAGTCTTCTCTTCCTCTGTGAATTGAACATAGGGAACTCCCCATGAGACCATCGGTGCAGGCTGTGGGAGAGAAGGCAGGGTGGCAGGAGTGGAGACCACATGCATCTGAGTCACTTCCTCATGTAACTTACTTGTGCCTTCAGGATCTGCTAGAGCCCATTCATGTATATACCACTTTCATTTGATGATGGAAAGCTCCTGTGCATGACCCACTTTACGGCAAGATGGGTCAGAAAGCACCTAGTTCATGATAGGTAGTTTAGGTTGCATGGTGACTTGATGACCCATAGTCAAACGTTTTGTTTCCACCAAAGCCCAGTAACAGGCCTAGATCTGTCTCTCAAAAGGATAGTATTTATCTAAAGAAGATAGCATGGCCTTGCTCCAAAATCTTAGAGGCCTCCACTGTGATTCACCTATGGTGGCCTGCCAAAGGTTCCAAACAGCATCCCTATCTTCCACTAACACCTCAAACACCATTGGATCTGCTGGGTCATATGGCCCAAGTGGCAGAGCAGTTAGCACAGCAGCCTGGACCTATTGCAGAGCTTCCTCTTCTGGACCCCACTCAAAACTGGCAGCCTTTAGGGTCACTCGGTCAGTGGCTTGGAGTAACACACCCAAATGAGGAATGTGTTCCCTCTAAAATCCAAATAGGCCCACTAGGCATTGTGCCTCTTTCTTGGTAGGAGGGGCCAAATGCAGCAACTTATCCTTCACCTTACAAGTAATATCTCTATCTTGACAGGCCCCACACCACTGAATCCCTAGAAATTTTACTGAGGTAGAAGTTTCCTGAATTTTCATTGAATTTATTTTTCATCCTCTGTCAAGCAAATGTCTCACCAATAAGTACAATGTGTTTGCTATTGCTTGCTCACTGGATCCAATCAGCATGATGTCATCAATGTAATGAACCAGGGTGATATTTTGCAGAAGGGAAAAATGATCAAGGTCTTTGAATGAGATTATGACACTAAGCCAGAGAGCTGATATACCATTGAGGTAGGACAGTAAAAGTATACTGCAGGACTTGCCAGCTGAAGGCAAATTGCTTCTAATGGGCCTTTATGGACAGGAGTAGAGAAAAAGGCATTTGCGGAGTCAATGGCTGCATACCAGGTATCAGGAGATGTGCTAATTTGCTCAAGCAATGAAATGACATCTGGTATAGCAGTTGCAATTGGAGTAACCACTTGGTTAAGCTTACAATAACCCACTGTCATTTTCCAAAATCTATCTGTCTTCTGCACAGACCAAATGAGAGAGTTGAATGGGAATGTGGTGGGAATCACCGCCCCTGCATCTTTCAAGCTCTTGACGGTGGCACTAATCTCCACAATCCCTCCAGGGATGCGATATTGTTTTTGATTTACTATTTTTCTAGGTAGAGACAGCTCTAATGGCTTCCATTTGGCCTTTCCCACCATAATAGCCCTCATGCTACCAGTCAGGGAGTCAATGTGGGGGTTCTGCCAGCTGCTAAGTATGTCTATGACAATTATGCATTCTGGCACTGGGGAAACTACCACAGAATCGGTCTGGGAACCCACTGGACCCACTGTAAGTTGGACCTGAGCTAAAAATCCATTAATTACCTGAACTCCATAAGCCCCTACATTAACTGGAGGACCACAGTGATGTTTTGGGTCCCCTGGAATCAATGTCAGCTCAGAGGCAGTGTCCAGTAGCCCTCAAAATGTCTGATCATTTCACTTTCCCCAATGCACAGTTACCCTGATAAAAGACTGGAGGCCTCCTTGGGGAAGAATGGGAAAGAGATGCACTGCATAAATTGTCAGTAATGTAGTGGGGTCCTTCCTCAAGGGGACTTGGCTTCTCTTCATTCAAGGTGTTCTGAGTCTAGAAACTGGCTCAAGTCAGGAAATTGATTGAAAGGCTGTGATTCTCTGTTTTTATAATTCAAAGTAGTCTTTTTTCCATTCGACTTGCAGGCTTTCTTTTAAAAATTAAGTAGCAATGCAGTAGGCTTCTTATCAATTTCACTTGTAGGAACACTATGATTGATTAGCCAAGGCCAGAGCTTTACATGAATCAGGCTATTCTGATTGCTGTCTTGTCTTCGCTGTCCATTACTGTAGCTGTACCCACCTTGCCTTTGATGGTTTAGTGTCTCCACTTGGTACCTGCCACCTCGGCATCCAATATAGTCCCATTGTATACAAATTTTGTAGTTGAGTGCCTGTGGTTCCCACTGTTACGTCTGACATACAGAGAAGAGCAATTACGGGGCTCTTCAAAGAGGCAGGTGCTGCCTTCACAAATCTATGTCACAAGGGATTGGTCAAGGATATATCTTCTGGACCCTCCCAGCCTGGATGAGTAGGTCTAAAGTGACTAATTCACTCCACCATCCCAATCTCCCTAAGCCTTTGAATCCTTTCCTCTACATTAAACCAAGGGAGATCAGGCATTTCCAGCTCACTCATAGTGGGCCATCTTTTAATCCATATTTCAGCTAACAAAGCCAATAAATTATTAAAACCTTTGTAATTCCCCAAGCTGCAACATTAAATGCAGAGTCCTTACTTAGTGGGCCCAAATCAATAAATTCAGCCTGATCCAACTTCTTGTTCCTTCCTCCATTATCCCATGCCCTTAATATCCATTCCCATACTGGTTCTCTAGATTTTTGTTTATATGAATTGGATAACTCAAGCAGTTCGTTTCTACTGTTGCACAGCACCTCATGGATCACACTCTCAATCTCACCTCTAGGAGCACACTGAGACTTTAGGTATAGGTCTAGAAGCAAATAGGGTTGTTTGGGGTGGCATCTGAGGAGAATCAACATTATTTTGCCTGGCAACTGCCTCAGGGGAGGCCATCACTGTTGTCTCAGGAAGTGCAGGGTTTATCTCCTCAGACAAAAGTGGAAAGGCTGATGGCAGCATGGGTCAGGGAGGGATTGTTGTCACTACTGAGAATGGGGAAGCTGTTTCTTCTAGCAAAAACGGTTCATCAGGGTTTACAATCTCAGGTTCCCCAGCTTCATTTGAGTCCTCCCACATGTCTCCATTCCAAGTTGCAGGGTCCCATTCTTTTCCAATCACTGCCCTCACCTTAACAGTAGACACCTGGTGAGGCTGTGCAGGCACCTTTCATTGCAAGTCAGCCACTTGCATGATAAGAGCTTGTGGCTGTTTTTCCACAATTTCAGCTTTTTCTCTACAGGAGATAAGACTCTCACTCAGGGCAGTCGTGGCAGATTTGAGGCTCAGCATCTGCTTCTGTAGGTGGGAGACAGAATCCCTGAGTTCACCATTCTCTTTCATCACTTTGTCCACTGAACTTAGGAGCAACCAACCAGCTTCAATTATGCTCCTTGGTTCTCCACATATGGTCAAAAGTATTATGTATAGAGTCACTAAACTCCTTGCCCCTCACAAGAGGTGAATCCGGAGTATCAGATGAATTTATCTTGCATAACTCTCTAAACAGTTCATGACAAGGACTATCACTGTTCTCCATACTATTAGAAGTAGAGTGCTTAGCATTTTGGGGTCAAATCATATTGAGAAGCCAATGCCAGAAACCCCAAAACCAATGGAAGAGCTCCATCCTTAATATTCTATTCCTCTAGAGCCACTCCTGGTGCCAAACCTTGTATTAATCAGAGTTCTCTAGAGGGACAGAACTAAGAGGATATATATATATATATATATATATATATATATATATATATATATATATATATATCTCCTCTTATATGAGTTTATTATATATATGGAAGTTTATTAAGCATTAACTTACACAATCACAAGGTCCCACAATAGGCTTTCTGCAAGCTTGAGGAGCAAGGAGAGCTATTCCAAGTCTCAAAACTGAAGAACTTTGAGTCTGATATTTGAGGGCAGGAAGCATCCAGCATGGGAGAGAGATGTAGGCTGGGAGGCTCAGCCAGTGTCGCCTTTTCACATTTTTCTGCCTGCTTTATATCCATCAGCAGCTGATTAGATTGTGCCCACCAGATCAAGGGTGGGTCTGCCTTCCCGACCCCACTGACTCAAATGTTAATCTAATTTGGCAATACCCTCACAGACACACCCAGGATCAATACTTTTCATCCTTCAATCTGATCAAGTTGACACTCAATATTAACCATCACAGGCCCGAAATGTAATCACATGTGAGTTTATAAAAGTTCAGCAGGGGAGACTTGAGAAATGGGAAATGTGCCAAAGAGACAAAAACTTGTAGTTTTGTGAAAAACAGATCATGAGTTTGAGGAATGCAGGCAGCCTCTAGAAGGCCAAGGAAAACAACGGAAGAAAAGGAAATAGATTCTCCCCCAGGGCCTCCAGGAGGACACATCCCAGCTGACATCTTTACATTTTAGCACACCTAAAATGATTTTGGACTTCTGAACTCCAGACTAGAAGATATTAATTTGTGATGGAACAAACTAATGCATTGCATAACAATATATTCCCATAAACCTCAAAATACGAATGGGTAGGAACTAGCCACCGCAGTCTTAAGAATCTCTTGATACAAGAGTTTGGGCTAGAAAAAATGAGGAAAGAAACATGTCGTAATCTTTGGATCCAAGAAGCCCACATATTGCTAACACATACTGCAGAAAAATCTAAGAACATCAGCAGGAATTAAACAGGAGTATCACAGACTACAATTTACAGTGAGTGTCTGGGGACTATTGGAAATCCTTAGGAATGGAGCTCTTTCAGAATCTAAATAACTAACCTAAGCACCACTCAAGGGTAAAAGCTTGCACTAAAGAGAAACTGCTGAGAGTGAAATCCAAACAGAACAAAACAGGGACAATAAACTCAATGACAAGGCTAGATTCGGATAAAAGTAGGAAGATCTCAGAAAATAAAAATTTATATCCTTATGACTTCGTGAAACTAAAAAATTAGGAATTGAAAAATTTACATATTATTCAGGTAAATATGAACACTGGCTGTTTAATGATACTAAGGGTTTAAAAGCCATGCATATATGTTTTAAAGGGGATATAATATTGCCTTTAATATATGATATGTTATCGAGACTTTGTGTTAAAAGAATCTGGTGCTAAAATGGTGACGGTGGGAAATGGTTGGGATGCTGCATGGAGAAGTTTGGCCGTGCGTTGATAACACTTGTGTAAATGAAGGTTCATTATGCCATTTGTTTTATTTTCTATATGTCTAAAATATTTCTAATATAACATTTAAAAAGAAAGAAAAGATGAAAAATCCTACCACACTAATTGGCCTGTGACTGTTTATAGAGTAGGCTACACACATGAATGTTAATTTGTATCATATTTAGCTACCATTTCTTGTTGACTAATATTGTATTATATACAAGAACTTTAAAGCACATTTTCGTGAAAAATGTACATTTTCACTTGGAATATGTAATTAAATCAATTGAACTTTTTCTATTACAGATAAAAAAATCTTTTCCATACTGTTTTTTCATATCTACTTTATCTAAAAGCAATTTTAGTACTGAATACCCCATTTCTATTAAATCAAATGTCACTATAACAAACTAAAATAAAATTCCAATGCTCAAGCAGAGAATTAATAACAAAATGGGTACGTTTCTCTACAGAAAAACAATTTTCACCAATTTAAAACTCTCAGATAAAAAATAGAGAAATTTTGGCCGGGCGCGGTGGCTCACGCCTGTAATCCCAGCACTTTGGGAGGCCGAGGCGGGCGGATCACGAGGTCAGGAGATCGAGACCATCCCGGCTAAAAAAACAGTGAAACCCCGTCTCTACTAAAAATACAAAAAATTAGCCGGGCGTAGTGGCGGGCGCCTGTAGTCCCAGCTACTTGGGAGGCTGAGGCAGGAGAATGGCGTGAACCCGGGAGGCGGAGCTTGCAGTGAGCCGAGATCCCGCCACTGCACTCCAGCCTGGGCGACAGAACGAGACTCCGTCTCAAAAAAAAAAAAAAAAAAAAAAAATAGAGAAATTTTTTGACATAATGTCAAAACAAGAAATCCAGACAGTTATTCAATTATTTTTCCCTTTAAAAGACAAAACTCACATATGTATGGTAGGCATTTTTAAAAATTTCTGATATCCTGTTATTATATGATCACATTATATGAGAAAAAAATTTTTAAACTGTGATCTATGGTGTAGGGTAGAGAAATTCTGAACAGTCTTATGTGATATAGAACTATTTGTGTGCGTGCATTTCTTATGGAAATGAGATTTAGAAATTTTCTGGGTTGTACATGACACCAATAAATAGGGATATTTTCATTCTGTTATTTTGAGTATATGCTAAAATAAGAATTGTTTGGCCTTTCTAAAGTAAACTTTGCTTGATACTTGAGCCATCTGCCTCTAAACAATAAAAGATCATGAATTATGGAAATGAGTATCTTACCTTAAAACAAAACAAAATTTTTTTCCATAATTAAATTGAAATAACAGCATTTAGAAAAATGAAAAGATTGGGAGAATAACTTTGCAAAACAAATCTCAGATACAGGACTGATATATATATTTATTCCTCCCCCAAATATATTTATTCCACACTTTCAAGTTGCACTATGTAAAATGAAGAAAGGTGTTATCAAGTTTTCAATGCCTGTAATAACATTTCTGTAATACTTTAATCTCTAGGAAAATGATACATAAAAATGTTACTCACACAAAGCCAATCCATAATTTCAATTAATATCTAGCCTGTAGTTTCTCTCATGCTTTGTGGAGTATGAGCATTTTGTAGATTGCTAGCCTTTGTACTACAATGATACATAAAATACATGTTAAATTTATGTCTGAGATTAATCAGTATTACTACTTGCCAGTAAAAGTTTGATAAAAATGTAATGAAGACATGCAAGTCATGCTTGATTTCATTTTCTTGCACGGAATGCAAACATTCAGTGCTTTGGTTTTTATTTAATGCCATTGTAGCAGTCTGTTTTCTGCTCTATATTGTACAATTCCAGAAGGCAGGGGTTGTGGCTATTTAAGTTACTTTGTGTGATATCATATGGGATATTCTGTGGACACAGATTTGCAATTACATTTTGTTGATAAGTAAATAATGCTTGGTAATGTAACAGGATCCCATGTGGCCGGTGGCACGTTCTGTCTGAGTATTGCTCACACCCACTGAGTTTGTTCCACCCCCTCGGCCGGCCCAGCAGGCTGTGCTCTGCTGATGATACTGGCCTGGACTCCGCACCTGCTGAGGATGAGCCCCTCGAGGAGCGGCGCGGGGTGTGTGGGAGAACAATCACGGGCTCCGGCCACCGTGCACAGCCACGCACACCGGCTAGCACAGTGGGGAGGGCAGCTCCAGGTGCCTGCACACGTGCCGGCTGCGTGCAAGGCTCCTGCTGAACCGGATGTACTGCACACGGCTTCCGCTGCAGGCACCTGCATCTGGACTATGGAAAAGCTGTGGTGACCCGAAGCTGCCATGTAAGAAAGTGAGCTAGTCTACTAAAAATACAAAAATTAGCTGGGTGTGGTGGCGGGCGTCTGTAATCCCACCTACTCGGGAGGCTGAGGCAGAAGAATTGCTTGAACCTGGGAGGTGGAGGTTGCAGTGAGCCAAGATCTTGCCACTGCACTCCAGCCTGGGCGACAGAGCAAGACTCCGCCTCAAAAAAAAAAAAAAAAAAAAAAAAAAAAGTGAGCTAACCTGTGATCACCATGTTGTGAAAAGAAAACAAACAACCCCCCCCCCCCACAAAAAAAAAAAAAATTCTCAGGTCATGAGGAAAGACCCTGGAGGTTGAGACATCTTTGGAGAGGTTTAGAGAGGGTGGTCAAAGAGACTAGTTATGTGTTCACCAGCTGTTCTAGAAATTAACTCTTCAGGCCAGGCCAATCCAACTGACTCAACATTGACCAAAGATTATCTGCTCAGCCAAACTATTCTCACATTCCTGACATGCAAAATTGTGAAGAAAACAAGTTTGATTTCAAGTTATTAAGTTTCAAGGTAATTTCTTACAAAAGAATATACAATAAAAAAAACTTGATATTTAAAGAAAATTGTAGAAGTTTACCACCTGACTCTAACAAAAGAATGGTAATTTTGCTAAGCTATTTGAATATTAGTAAAATTATTATTATTTTAGTATTTTATATTTTAATAATATACTATAATTTAATAATTATTATAATAAAATAATGATGTTATTAATAATGTTATAATTACTAACATTATTATTTTTATATTTAATATTGAAGCTGGCACTTCAATATATGAATTTTGGAGGGACATGACCCAGCCCTCCAAAATCCATAAATTGAAGTGTCAACTTCTGGTACCTGGAAATGTAACTATATTTGGAGTTAAGCACTTTAAAGAGGTGATTAAGACTAAATGAACTCATAAGGGTGAGCACTGATCTATGTGAATGTTTAGAGATAAGGTCATCGAAGAGGTGATTAATATAAACTGTGGACCTTAGGGTGGGGACCTAAATCACAATGTCATCATAAGAAGATAGAGAGAGACACAAGGAATGCACAAAGAAAAGGCACGTGAAGACACAGGGAGAAGGCAGCCATATGCAAGCCAGTGAGAGAAGCCTACCAACATGGTGCATTGCTCTTGAAGGCCCAGCCTCCAGAACTGTGAGAAAACAAATCTCTGTTTCTGTAAGTCACCTAGCAAACTAACACAAAAGTTTATATTTATTCCATACTCGTCTTGTACCAAAAACTGTACAAAGCATTTGAGAGATAATGTCATTAATTACTTATAATTGCTCAAAATGCCAGGATCATTGGTATCTCATAAGAATTGTGTTTCAACTATTTTATTGTTTCTTTCAGATGATGATGGACTTGTAGGACAACTAAAGAAATGTCAAATTCTATATACATTCCATGTAGTGTATGTGATATTGGCTAAAAACTACAGTATTTCATGGTAAAGAGGGCAAAGCTGTAAACTCCTTCAGGGCCACTTTAAGATCTTTCTCTTAGATTCATCTCAATTATTTCTGAAAGTGGAAAGTGGATTACCAGAGGGCATATACTAAATCTCACACTTCAGTGGAATTTTGTCTTTTCTATTCTCAAGCAGAAATACTGACGATTTAACAGTGAGTGCTTTTTCCTTGTGCAATGCATTTTTTTCTTTAGCAAACACTTTTTTAAAACTAATGTGTATATAATTTTAGGCATTGAGCATGCATTTTATATATCTCTATCTATCTATCTATCTATCTATCTATCTATCTATCTATCTATCTATCTATAGAGAGAGAAAGAGAGAGAGAGAGAGACTCTGGACTGAAGAAAAGAATGAGTAACACCTACTTTTTGCCTTAAGGTAGCATACAATTCAGTAGTGAATACAGACCTGAAAAGTACACAGAACTATAATAAAAGGAATAATCTAGGTTAAACCATACATGCTCTTAGCTGAAAAGAGATTTAAATAATCAATTCCAATAAACTTTTTATAGCCAAAGGGAATTGGCACTGCCATCCCTACACAAATGTTCACCGATTCATTGCTTTTGGCCTGGAGGAACTTCTGGGCAATTAACTGGACTTATCAAAAATGTGTGCCTCCGGAGTCACTTTCTCAGAAGTGGTTACCCTTTCTTACTCTTCTACAGGGTTTTTATGTATTTATAAAATGCTAGGGTTAGAAAAGAGATTAAGGAAATAGTTTTATTGTTGATTTCCCTTTTTTCCGGCCTAAGAATATTCTTTAATAGCCTTAATGAATATTTTATATTATTCCTTCACTGCTCCAATATTATTATCAATTCAGGGAGTCTTTGGAATACAAATGGCAAAATGTTTTTAATCATTGTCATGGATCACTGTGACTTAGCTTTAGCACAAAACCACAAGACACAATTTCATAACACAGTCCTCAAATTTCATATCCAATACTATCCTAACTCTCCTGTTAGCTGAATTTGGTTTCTACATCCGGAATTCCTCAATATCATGTGACAACACCCACATACTCTTTTTTTACTTATGTCCACTTTTTCTTCCAATTTCAGAGAACTCTATCTCTACGAAGTATTGACCCATTGATTATCTCCTGTCATATATTTCCAAATTTCTCAAGGTTGTTTTGCTGTAGCATAAAGTCATGTTCTATTTTTTTTTCATCTTAAACAAATTTACCTCCAGCATGGGTCCCTTTTTAACCACTAGCCTGTCTAATTTTATTAAAGCATTGCTCTAGTTGTTTGTCTCTCATTTTTTACTGCAAACTTACTCCTCAATCTACTTCAATCCAGTTACCACTAAAATGACTCTGATCACTAGTAATTTCCTAATTACTGAAATGGATTGGCTCACTTAGTTTTCAAGCTACTTGATCTATAAAGCATTTGTCACTGTTGATAATTTACTTTGAAAAACTTTAAATATTTTTCTTTGTTTTTCTTTTTCCTGCCATATCTTCTGTATTTCATCCCTCTCTGACTGTTTCTTCTATTTTTTTGGTAGCCACTATTCTTCTGTATACACACTTGGAACACAATTTGGAACAAAAGCAGTGAGTGCCTCCTCTTGTAAGATGTAATGGAATGCAAAAGATGCACACAGACTTGTCTCCCAGGACAGGATAAAGTCACAAATCTCTAGCACAGCATATGAAATTCGGCCTTACCTTTCCCATAGCTTACATCTTCTCACACTTCAAATAATAACCCTGTAAGTTCAATTGTTATTAAAATCCTCAGTTAATATGCATTTCTTGAAGTTTAACATTTATTTCCTTTACACTAATTTAGATTCTTTCTTCATCCATTTTTTTTTTTAATCTTGGCCCAGTATGTTTACATTCTACTCACCTACTAACCACTGCATCTTCCATGGAAAATCCGATACGCTGTTGATCCGACAAGTTACACATCCCGTCTTATGCATATCAATCTCTCCTTAAATACTGGAAAAATCAAATATCCTAAAAATCTGTGCCAGACAAAGACGATTATATGTACAATGATTATACATATACAATGATTAGAGGCTGTTATATAAATTCTCATCATTTTATTCTATGTACAATGATTAGAGGCTGTTACGTATACAATGATTAGAGGCTATAGTATAGAGTAAATCTTCATCATTTTATTCTCTATGATATAAAATCCAGTTTTTCTACTTTGGTACAATTTTAACAGTCTCTAGTCATTGTATACTTTTTTTTAACTTTTTAAAACAATTCTTATAAAAAATTAGAGCAGATAGTGCAGTTTTCTTGCCCCTCTCCTCAAACATGCATGTGTGTGCACGTGCACACACACACACATATTTCTGTTATTATTAATATCTTCAGATTATAACACAGTACTGATGCATTATTGCTAATAAAATTCATAGTTTACATTGAAGTTCACACTCTTGTTAAATAGTTCTGTGGTTTTAACAAATGCATAATGTTAAATATCCATAATTTTAGTATTATACAGAATAGTTTCAACACCCAAAATTGCTCTGGTTAGGGCTTCTAGTACTTTGTTGAATAGCAGTTGTGAGAGTGGGCATCCTTATCATGTTACAGTTCTCAAGCAGAGTCATTCCAGCATTTGCCCATTTAGTGTGATGTTGGCTGTGGGTTTGTCATAGATGGCCCTTATTATTTTTATGTATGTATTATTTTTATGTATGTTCCTCTGATGCCTCGTCTGTCGAAGGTTTTTATCATGAAGGGAGTTGGATTTATTAAAATCTTTTTCTGTGTCTATTGAGATGATCATATCGTTTTTGCTTTTAATTCTCTTTATGGAGTAAATCACATTTAGTGATTAACATATATTGAACCAGTCTTGCATCCTAGGAATAAAACCTACTTGATCATGGTGTATTAACTTTTTGATATGCTGCTGGAGTCAGTGTGATATTCATTGAAGACTTTTATGTCTATGTTCATTAGGATTATTGGCCTGAGGTTTATTTTTTTTTCGTTATATTTCTGCCAGATTTTGTTATCAGGCTGATGCTGGCTTCATAGAATGAGTTGGAGAGCAGCCCCTCCTCCTTGAATTTTTGGAAGAGTTTCAGTAAGATTGGTACCCATTCTTTACATGTTGGTAGAAATTGGTTGCGAATTCATCTGGTCCAGGGATTTTTGCAGTTGATAGGTTTTTATTACCAATTCAATTTCAGAACTTATTGGTCTATTCAGGGTTTTACTTTCTTCTTGATTTACTCCTGAGAGGATGTTTGTTTCCAAGAATTTATCTATTTCCTCTAAATTTTCTAACTTGTATGCATAGAGTTGTTCATAATAGTCTCTTAGGGACCTTTGTATTTCAGTGGGATTGATTATAATGTCATCTTTGTCTTTTCTAACTGTACTTACTTGGATCTTCTCTTTTTCTTTTTATTTGTTAATCTAGCTAGAGATTTATCAATCTTTTTAAATATTTTGAACACCCAACTCTTGGTTTTGTTGAACTTTTGTATGGATTTTTACACCACAATTTTTTTCAGTTCTCATCTAATTTTAGTTATTTCTTCTCTTCTGCTAGCTTTAGGGTGGAGTTGTCATATTTTTCCAGTTCCTCTAGGTGCAGTGTTAGATTGTTAATTTGACATCTTTCTAACTTATTCATGAAGGCATCTAGCACTATAAACTTTTAATAGCTTTAGCTGCATCCCCAAAATTTTGGTAAGCTGTGTTCCTGTTTTTATTAATTTTTTGATTCTGCCCTAATTTCATAGTTCATCCAGGAGTTATTTGAGAGCAAGTTCCAAAATTTCCATATATTTATGTAATTTAAAGAGATCTTCTTGATACTAACTTTTATTTTGAAGGCAACGTGGTCCAAGAGGGTGTTTGGCATGATTTTATTTTATTTTATTTTATTTTTAATTTACTGAGACTTACTTTTATGACTAAACATGATATTAGAATATGTTCAGTGTGAAGATGAGAAGAATGTATATTTTGTGGTTCTTGAGTATAGTATTCTGTAGATGTCAATTAGGTCCAATTGGTTGAGGGTCAAGTTTAGTCCATAATTTCTTTGTTAGTGTTCTCCATTAATAATCTGTCCAATACTGTCTGGAAGATTTTGAAGCCTCCCACTGTTATTGTGAGGCTACATCTCTTTGTAGGTCAAGAATGACTTATTTTATGGATCTGGGTATTTCAATATTGGGTACATATATATTTAGGATAATTAAGTATTCTTGTTTAATTGAACCCTTTATTATCAGTAATTCCCTTCTTTTCCTTCTTAATTGTTGTTGGTTTAAATTCTGTTGTATCAGATGTAAGAATAGTGACACCTGTTATTTTTTTTCTTTTCATTTGCATGTAAATCTTTCTCCATCTTTTTTATTTTAAGGCTGTGGGTGTTGTTACATGTGGGATGGGTGTCTTAAAGACAGTGAACAGATGGCTCTTGTATTTTTATCCAGCGTGATACTCTATGCCTTTTAAGTGAGGTGTTTAGCCCATTTACATTCAAGGTTGGTATAGGTATGTGTGATTTTTATTCTATCATTTTGTTGTTATCTGGTTGTTACGTGGACTAGCTTGCTTATAACTCGTGTCCGCAAATAGTCTCCATCTATTATTGTGAAGCTACATCTCTTTGTAGGTCAAGAACGACATATTTTATAAATCTGGTTGTTCTAATGTTGGGTACATACATATTTTAATTCTAAGTAAGGTGTTTAGCCCATTTACATTCAAGATTAGTATTGGTATATGTAATTTTGAGTCCATCATTTTGTTGTTACCAGGTTGTCATGTAGACTTGCTTACTCATGGTGCCTGTCTGCTATGTGCTTACCTGTGTTTTTGTGGTAGTATCTTTTTTTTTTGTTTGGTTTTATGTTTAGTACTCCTTAAAGGACCTCATGTAAGGCTAGCCTAGTTGTAACAAATTCCATCAGAATTTGCTTGTCTGAGGAAAATCTTATTTCTCCTTCACTTACGAAGCTTAGATTAATGGGATACAAAAAATCTTGGTTGAAATTTATTTTCTTTAATGATTCTGAAAATAGGACCCCAATCTCTTCTGGCTTGTAATGTTTCTGCTGAGGGGTCTATTGCTGGCCTGATTGGGTTTCTTTTGTATATGATTTGACCTTTCTTTCCAGCTACCTTTAAGATACTTTCTTTAGCACTGAGTCTGGTGCATCTAATGACTACCTTTCTCAGGGATGGTTTTCTTGTACAGTATCTTGCCAGAGTTCTCTCTATTTCTTTGAATTTGTATGTCAACCTCTCTAGTGACATTAGGGAAATTTTTATGGTTTATATCCTCAAATATGTTTTTTTTAGTTTATTACTCTCTCTCCTCTCTCAGGAATATCAATAAATCGCAGGTTTGATTTTTTTTTACATAATCTCTACTTCTTGGAGATTTTATCCATTTAAAAACTATTTTGTCTTTATTTTTGTATGATTGAGTTGACTTGAAGGATTGATCTTCAAGCTCTAAGATTCCTTTTCCAGCTTGGTTTATTCCAATATTAATACTTCCAGCTCTTTTATGAAGTTCTTGCAGTGCATATTTCAAATCTAGAATTTGTTAGGTTCTTTTTTAAAATGGCTATGTCATCCTTTAGCTCCTGCATCATTTTACAGAATTCTTTGTCCTTCTTTAATTGAGTTTTAACTGTCTCCTGAATCTTGATGATTTTCCTTGCCATCCAGATTCTGCATTCTATATTTGTCATTTCATTAATTTCACTCTGGTGAAGAACCATTGTTGTGGAGCCAGTGGACTTACCTGGAGGCAAGGGGTCACTCTGGTTTTTTGAATATCCAGTGTTCTTGCACTGATTTTTTTCTCATCTGAGACGGCTTGTCTTTAAAGGTAGTGTCAGTTTAATATAGTCAATTGGCTTCATTTTAGATGGTTTCAGATGGCCAAGGTTATGCACAGGATCTTTATTTGTGACTAATCTCTTGCCTTTGGTTTCATAGGGATATATATTAGTTTGGATTTTAATTCAGTAGATGCTTCTTAAGATTAACGGCTAGCATGTAGGCACTTACCAAGCCATGCACCTTTTTTTATATTTCCCTGTGTTCACAGCCGTGCTCCCTTCTCTTAGAGCCATTCAGGACCAGGAACTATTCCTAGCATTTGGCATATCTGTGCAGGGCTGCCAGGTTCCTCTCTCTTCAGTCTCAGTTTCTGTGCTGCCTCACTATTGACACTTGGTGTTTCATCTCCAGAGATCTGCTTAAAGTATGTTGGTGTATTCAATATTTTGTTATCTTTCAGTGGAAGTAGAACTTCCTGGCTGGATCTAGTTGGCTACCTTTGCCCTCATTTCCCAATACTCATTTTTAAATTTCAAAGGAGGCAAAACATTTCCTGGATTCCAGAATAACTCAGCATCCTTCCTACAGATATCCCAGTAGGACATCTTTCATACAGATAACCTGTAGGACACAGGATGACAGAGGATGTGATGGAGCCATCTGGGAACTCCTGGAGCTGGTGAGACAGAGTAGTAGAGATGGGCCAAAATATTGTTTTTAATTTGTCATGAGACTTTCATGATCCAAGTGTTATTTAGAAGTGTGTTGTTTAATCCAATATAGTGAGGTTTTCCTGCTATCTTTCTATGACTGAGTTTAATTGCACTGTGGTCTGTTAGGTAGATTCACTGTGCACTGGTTACTGTTGTAACCTACTACATCTTGAACTGCACTTTTACTAGTTGCCCAAGTCCAGTAAGACAGAAGTTGTACAACATGAGTTTATTATTTACACATAGAAAATAAGAGACAACAGAAGTCTAGCATTCAGGAGAAGCCATTCCCTCAAGTTTCAGGAAAGCTGCTCAGGGCAGGTGGAATTGTGTCTGCATATGCTTCACCTGCACTACAACTGAAGGGAAATAGAAAGCAGTGTACCCTGGGTTTTATAACCTGCAGGGCACTGGACACCCTGGGCTAAAACACTGAAGGATATGTTATTTCTAAAAGGGACTAGAACACAGCTTGGGCTGTTCTGGCTAGTTCTTTCTTATCTCAGGATGTTGCATTGTTAGCATTATTCCACAGTTATTATTGATAACTGTAAATAAGAAGAGGAAAAGGTAGAACTAGGTCAGACTCGGGCCACCTAGAAAATTGTCCTGAATTGTCTGTGAGCATACTTTGTATGATTTTTATTATTTAAATTTGTTTGAGTGTGTTACATGGCCCAGAATTTGGTCTATCTTTGTGAATGTCTCATGCTGCAAAGAATGTGTCCTGCTATTTTGGATAAAGTATTTTATAAATGTCAATTAGATTCAGTTGACTGCTCCTGCTGTTCAGTTTACCTATTTTCATACATTTTCTGCCTGCTGAATTTGTCAGTTACTGATAGAGAAGTGTTCAAGCCTCCAAATATAGTCATAGATTTGCCTATTTCTCCTTGAAGTTCTATCAGGTTTTGCTTTACATATCTTGATGCTCTATTATTAAGTAGGTACATAATAGAGATGGTTATGTCTTCTTGAAGAATTTACCTATTAATAATTATGCAATGCTCCTTTTGTCCCTTATGATTTGTTGTTTTATGAAGTCTGCTTTTTTCTGAAAATAATATAGCTTTTCAAGCTTTCTTCTTATTAGTATTGGCATGATATATCTATTTTTATAACTTATGTGATTGGAAAGCTAAATGGCACATAATTTTATTACATGCCTCCCTGTAGGTAAAAATTAAGCTCTGGTAAAGTAGGTTTCTGTTGGAGAGAAGGTTTTTGTTACATAGAACTCTCTGGAAATATTTCATAATGCTGCTTCTTCCTCCACCATCTATCAGAGCCACACACACACATACACAAATCATTTTTACTCTTCCTGGTACTACACTGGTATGCTGGTGGGGTAGCTGAAGATAAAACCAAAAGAAGTACCTCCCCACTCACCCACAAGGCTATGGCCCCCTAGAGTTTCTCTAATTGCTGGTCTATATTCAGCCTCAGTGTTTTCATAATATTAGCATTTAAATATATTTTACAGTTTATGACCCCAGCAACTTCTGTTGCAAATAAATAGATCTTGGTATAACTTTTATATTCATCTGTCTCTGCAAATTTCAGGATTGTAGTCTGCCCTGTAGGTCAATTTTCTGATGAATCCCATAGATTTGTTTTGTTTTTGTTTTTCTTTTGTTTTACTTTTTTAGGTTGTTATAAAAAAGGAAGTGATGATTTCTAATCTCATTACATGTGGGTAATGAAAGCTGAAATTCAGCACACTGATTTTAACATTCCTATTCTGAGGAAACACATCACATTATTTATATTTATGTGCAAGAACTATTAACATGGACTTATGTACCTACTGATTGGTCTGGAAGATATAGTCTCTATTTGGGCAAATACTTCCCAGTGACAATTTTGTAAGAAAGAGCACAGATTTTGCTCATCAAATAGGTCTCTCAGTCACTGAGTATGTAAAAAAACAGGCAAAATCAACATTCAGAAAGCACCTTCTGAGTGTCAAACACTACAGTGGCTATTTCATACATGAAATCTCATTTATTCACCTTTATCATTAAACAAGATAACATTATTGTCCCAGTGTAAGACACTGGATCAGAAAAATCAGTCAAATGTCCAAGGGTACATAGCTCAATTAACAAGTGAACTGATATTTTAAACTAAGTATATATAATCCCCAAAACCCTGTGCTTTCAAATAAAATGGAGCTTGGTTAGTAATTTTATTGGAATTTTAATGTAAATATGATTACATATATATAATTATTTGAGAAAAATTAAGCATCTGGACTGGACAATCTCCCAATCTCAGCACACTATATTTTTACTCATTTAGTTAAGTTGCTTCTGATATATTTGTCATTGTCTATGTGTAAAGCATATAACAGGCTCACCTCTGATTTTCTTAAGTCTGATCTCATTTGCTAAATCAAAATTATTACTGTAAGAGCTCCCATCCTCAACCAGCCTCCATCACAAGTCCAGAGTTCCCTTATCTTTATATGACATTCCTCTTTATTTGGTAAATAGTATTTTCTAAAAGCAGTGCCTCATTTTTTTTTTGATGTGCAGAAAAGTTGTTGAGACAATAACTTATCACCTTACCTGTTACAGTTCTTGTGTGATGCCAGTCTTTTCTTATACAAGGATAGTGTCTGTATCTGTTTACTAAGTTTTGCCTTACTTTTTATTTTTGTGTCCTCCTTTAATTTAATGTTTTTCTTTCAAACCTGTGTCTACTGTAAAGAGTTAGAAATATGACATTTGTGAGCTTAATGAATACTTGGTAGATAAATGAATAAATTAATGAAACTAGATCATATTGCACATATATTCACATATATTTAATAAATTAACAAATACATATGTTGGTATAAAATCCTGATATCTCTTGTTTTGTTATAACTGAAACTCATCCAATCCAGTTAGCAGATATGAAATATTACTATTCAGGATTGAAATCATCACTTTTTTCAGAATTCAAGGTAATACTTACAGAGTTGAGATAAAAGAAATCTTAGGTATGGACCACTATAGAAATGGTCATGGATTGAATATGAAAATAAATATATAATGTATTTCTCTTTAAATTTGTTAGTGGATTTCTTTAACTTAGAAGAAGGCATTGCAGAATAGTATTATTCCACATCATATATATATTATATACAAATGTGTGTGTGTGTGGGGGGGTTCTGTGTGTGTGTGTGTCTGTGCACTTGCATGCATTGTAGCATGGCCACTAAAGGTAATAGTGTATTTCAATGCAAATCATTCTGATTTACTGCTAACTAATGGACAGCTTTTAGATGGATAGGGCTATAAATGTTTGTAAACATTGGATTCCACAGAACACTTTTCTCCAGGGAGCTGTTTCATGTTAATAAGCTTTATATTTTTGAATCTGCAATACCCTAAAGAGACACAAAGCAATAATGCCTTCATCAAAGCATAATGTGGAGCAGTTCATTCAGATAACTTAGTGTAAGGGGCTTTCTCCATATATGCAATGCTGGAAAGAGCTAATAAAATAAATTAAATCTGAATGAAACACCAATTGTGCATGTTATGAATGTTGATATAAGTACAGTGATATAATAAAACGGAATTATTATAACAGTGTTATGCATTAGGATACATTTACATATAAGAGTACCATATACAAAGGGCAGTGGATTTATATTGTAAACATATGTTTTAGCCTTTGCCTTTCTAGTTACTGAATCTGTGCTTTAAGTTACATCACATAAATTCTAAGAGACTCCATTTTCTTTATGTATAACTAATTATAACATATGTTTATGATTTAGTTCTCTTTCTCTAGATAATATTTTAAATGGAAGTATTTTACATATAGAAATAAACCAGTAACTGTTGAAAATGCTGACTCCAGTTAAAGAGAAAAGTTAATGCAGAACTAAGACGTACTTATAACTGGGAAAGTTAAAATAATGGCAGTCAATGAGATTTTCAACAGAAACATTGTAGAAAGAAAAGAGTAGAGTGCTAAGGGCAAAACTTGAAAATATTTATCTGTTCTTTCCTCTCTTGAAATGTTGATTCATATATCCAAATCTCACTGACCATACCAATAAAAATACTAAACAGCTATCAAAATTATTGATTTAAAATGGAATCAGAAGAGGGAAAGCATATTAAAATTAATGGAAACTTTCTGTGAACCATTTAGAAATTAAACTCCCGTCGGTTTCTATGATCATGATTATGTGATTATGACCATTAACAATCTATTATCTCTAATTCTTTAAATAATTTAACAGTGAAGATCCAAATATTTTATCCTGATTTTCGGTTGTATTTTTTATGTTATTTATTAATATCAAATTCCATTTATTTTTAGGAAAGTTAAAAAGCAAATGAATAAACCAAAATATATATTTATTTGATATTAAAATCTATTATGGTAGGTATGGATTATATTTGCTTAAATTGCATAGACTGTTTTTTTGCCATGATATAACCAACATATATTAAATACTTAATAAATTATATATATTAAAGAATTTTTAATGCATGTAAGTTAAGACTCATAAACATGTTTGATGTTAGTATTATTATTTTAACTTTAGAGATTAATTTCCTTATAAATGATCACATGGTCACTAATTTAGA
Organism: Homo sapiens; assembly: GCF_000001405.40. Taxonomy (NCBI): domain Eukaryota; kingdom Metazoa; phylum Chordata; class Mammalia; order Primates; family Hominidae; genus Homo; species Homo sapiens. The sequence goes on from NC_000005.10 coordinate 27,536,587, forward strand.
TAGGTTTTAAATTCAGGCAGTTTGACCTCATTGTCAGTATTCTTTATTTCTACACCATAAGACCTCCCGTATGCACAGTTTTTCATTAAAATACTGTAAGAATTGTTACCTGCACATGCACACGTATTTATTTAGAAATTAATTTCTAGATTTCTATAATATACCTGCGTGAAAAAGTCAAAAATATTTTCGTCAGAATTCAAGAACTCATGCAATTTATAAACTTAGTTTCTCTTACTCTTTCTCCCTCAATTATTTAGATAAGAAAAAATACTTTAGATTCAAAGGTAAAATAGTATGGGATGCCTATACAACACATGTTTTTGTGAGCTCCAGGTTGTGTCAAAGTGGCTGGGGCAAAGTGGCTGGGGCAAAGCTACAAGTTAACAACATCTCAGCAAAGCAACTGTTTAAAGTACAGGTCTTTTTCAAAATGGAGTCTCTTATGTCTTTCCTTTCTACATAGACACAGTGACAGTCTGATCTCTCTTTCTTTTCCCTGCAGATCTACACAAAGAGCATCAGAGAGGGAATCAATAGGGATAAAATATATTTTAATCTTTATTTTAATTGATCTAACAAATAACTTTGTTCAAAGTAATAAGGATAACAGTGTGTTGGGTAATTATAACCTATGGATAAGTGAAATGAATTAAAGCAGTGATATAAGATATGAGAGGGAGAAGATTATAACACTCAAAGGTACCTACATTATATGTGAAATGCTGTAGTGATATTTGAAGTTAGAGTACATTAGTTAAAAATGGATATTGAGAACTGTAGGATAACCATTAAAGATAATAAAGAGAGATATAGTTAATATGGTAATAGATGAGAGAAAAATTCAATTATCTACAATATTAAATAAAAACAATAAAAAAAGGCTGAACAAAGGGGAAGAAGTAAAAATAAACAAAGAAAGGTGCAATAAGTAGGACATGATTATAAACAAGGGCTAAGAAATGTTTAACTCAACTATATTAAAAGTAACTGTAAATGGGAACAGTAGTAATACACTCATTCTAAGGTAGAGACAGTCAGAATGTTTATAGAAACAAGTCCCAACTATATGTCTACAAGAAATAGACCTTAATTATAGAACCAAATAATTTGAAGGAAAAGTGGAGAAGGTATACTATGCTAACATCAGTGAAAAAAAAAATGCTGCAGTTACTATTTTAATTTCAGACAAAGCAGAATTTCAAATAAAAATATTTTTCAGGACTAATAAAGGGACACCACATAATGATAAAGGGGTCGTTCCTCAAGAAAATATAACAAATCCTAAACTTGTGTGCGTCTAACAACACAGTGTCAACCTACAAGAGGCAGTAACTTACAGAAAAAAAATTACTGACTTTAACATTCCTCTTTAAATAATTGATAAACCAAACAGGAGTAAATCAATAAAGATGTAGTGATAGTGAATAGCACTATCAACCAACTTTGTCTAACTGATATTGATAGAATACTCCATCCTCAACACCAGCAGAATATTTATTCATCTCAAACTCATATAGAACATTCACCAAGATACTATTATGTGATGTAGAAGGTCACATGACACAAGGCTAACATGTAAAAATCATTTTGCATTTTATATCTTACTAAACAATGGGAATTTAAAATTTAAAAGTATTTCCACAGTGGCTGAAGTAATTTACACCACGAACTTAAACTCACCAACAGTGTACCAGTGCCCCTTTTGGTCTATAATTTCACCAAAACCTGTTATTTTCTGACCTTTAAACAAGTTATTCTAACTTGTGTGAGATAGTACCTCATTGTAGATTTAATTTGCATTTATCTGATGATTAGTGATGATGAGCAATGTTATATATGTTTGTTGGCTGCTTGTATGTCTTCTTTGGAGAAGTATATATTCAAGTCTTTTTGCTTATTTTTTAATGAGGTGATTTGTTTTATGCTTGTTGAATTGTGTAATTTCCTCATAGATTCTGGATATTAGACCTTTGTTGGATCCATAGTTTGGGAATATTATCTTCCATTCTGTAGGTTTTATGGAGATTTCTCAAATAACTAAGATTTGAGCTATCATTTGACCCAGAAATCCCATCACTGGGTATATACTCAAAGTAAAATAAATTTTTCTACCAAAAGGACATGTGCACCTGTATGTTCATTGCAGCACTACTCACAGTAGCAAAAACATGGAATCAACGTAGATGAAATAAAGAAAATCTGTTAGATATACACCATGAAATACTATGCAGCCATAAAAAAGAATGAAATTATGTCCTTTACAGCCACATGGGTGCAGCTGGAGGCCATTATTGTAAACAAACTAATCTAGAAACAGAAAACTAAATACCGTATGTTCTCATGTATAATTAGGAGATAAACATTGGGTACACTTTGACATAAATATGACTTCATGTCATAAATATGACATAAATATGACTTCAGTCTTCAGACGCTGAAGACTACTAGAGGTGCAAGAGAGGAAGTGGGGTAAATGTTGAAAAACTACCTATTGAATACTATGCTCATTATCTGGATGATTTATTCAACTGTATACTCCAAACTTAAGCATCACACAATATACTCTAGTAGCAAACCTGCACATGTACCTACTGATTATAAAAGCTGAAAAAATTACTTATAATATTAAAAATGTAAGAAAGATATAAATCTTTCAAAATATATATGGGATTAATATGCTGAAAACTATAAAATTGTGTTGAAGTTAAATCAAAGACCTAAATAAATGAAGATGTATTCCATGTTCATACATTGGAAGACTCAGTGTTGTTAAGCTGCCAGTTCTTCCCAGTTTGTTCTACAGAGACAGTGTAACCCCAATCAAAATTCCATCAAAAAATTATTTAGGTATCAGTACACAGATTCTAAAATTTATATGGAAAGGTCAAAGACATACAATAGACAGCACAGTACTCAAAAAAGAAAGTTGAAAAATTAATACTACTCAATTTTAAGACAATATAGATTTATACTAATGAAGACAGCCTGGTATTTGCTGAAGAATGGATTCATAGATCAATGAAACATAACTGAAAACCCAGAAATAGACTGACATTTAAAAAGTCATCACGTTTTATTTTGCACATATATGTATAGAAACGTTATTCATAACTGCCCCAAATTAGAAGTAAGTTGTGTGTAAAGAATGCAACTGAGATGTCCTTCAATAGATAAATAAAGTGTTGGACATGCTTCATGCATACAATGGGTTTTTATTTAGCTATAAAGAATAAGGAGCTATCAAGACATTAAAAAATGGAGGAAACTTAGAATGCACATTTCTAAGTGATAAAAAGTAGTATGCAAAAGCTGTATATAGTATGATTACAATTATATGGCATTCTGGAATGATGAAGCTACAATGATAGAAATATCAGTGGTTGTGGAGGTTGGAGAGTAAGGGGAGGGTTAAATAGGTGAAACAAATTTTCTTTGTGGGGTGAATTATCTGTTTCAGCTACATTCGCTAATCTTAATAGATAGTATTTTTATTCTTTTCCAGGGAAAGAGTATATTCCAATTTAACTTTTGATTTATTCCTTGCTATTTAAAAATATATATACTTTTTAATTTCCCTTCATGTTTCTTTTTTAAATGTATCATTAATTCCTGCATATTCAGGGATTCTCCTGTATTCTGTTGTTGTTGTTTCTATTCTATATGCAAATGTAATTGTGGAGACATGACACTATGCAAGCCAAAATCAATTGCACTCTACAACAAAAAAAGTGGACGCTTATGTATGCAAATTTAAAAAACATTGATGATGGGGATTGCAGAATGAAATGCAGAATGTGACAAAATGATTTAACTCTATGTCAAATGTATAAAACAACTTTATTGAAGGACATTGGGGGAGAAAGCTGTTGATCTAGTAACTTTGAAAATGGTTGAAATTTGTAAGACTAAATGTAAAAGAAAAGGCCCATAAGCACCGTAATCTAATTATAAAGTTGTGTCCTGCAAGGTTATTGATTAACATTTTTGACACTGCTGTATATGTGTACTGGAAATGAGCAATAAAGCAAATATATGGTGAATGGTGGGAGTCAGATTTCTCACTGATGGAGTGAGACTCTAGAAAAGTAACGGGGGTGTTGAGGCAAATCCATGTGCTACAGGCTTAGAGTGGGAGATATTCATGTAAGTTCATGTATAGTTAACTATAGGTACAGATGGATACATATTTATGTACATATTTATATTTATACATTTGATAGTATATTTAATTGCTATCAAATTTATACATTTGATAGTATATTTAATTGCAATTAAGTAATTATTTAATTGCATATATTTAATTGCTTTTTCAGCAGAGAGGACCTGGAAGCAAGGGCCCTCCAGTTATCATACATAGATCTAGCACCCAGATCTTGGTTTGTAATACAATTCTGCAATAAAAGGATCAAGGACTCCTTGAAGAAATGGCTGTTTGTAAGGCTGGGGTAGGAAATACACAAGATTATTTTGGAGTATCTTAAAGTTCCAGAGAGTGAGGACTTGTTAAAAAAATACTGCAAGATAATATGCCAAAACCTAGCCATAACCAGGGAAACAGTAACCAATAGAAATAGCTTTTAATAGCCACAGTCAGAACAATTTGAACAAAAAAACCACAAATGTGTTATTGAATGTAACCAGAGTATAACATACATATTTATGAATCTGTAATGATATAAATGTTTGAAAACATAAATAAATAAGAGACAAATACTGCATATAGAAGAAGTCCAAATAATTTATATATATACTCCATCCTCAAAAAAGTGAAAATTAACTGCACTCATGATGTGTTAGCTGGGCATAATAAATTTCTCCAAAGAGTACAGTATGTAAAAGGAGAATATTACCTTTGGAGTAGAGAAACTTGACAAATACTACCATATCCAGGCGATCAAGGTCAACGTGTCAACATCAACAGTGATGTGACATGAATAGCATGTATCTTTGATATATTTTGATAAAAATTCACATACTCTCTGTGGTCTTCCTCCCCCAAACCAATAACCTTAGTCTAATAAGAAAAACATCTTAGATGAGATCTTGGAATTAAAAAAAAAAAGGAAACTAAATAACTAGGGCAATCTAAATAGAGTACAGATTTTAGTTAGTTATAATGTATAAATATTGGTTTATTCATAAACCAATAAATAAAAGAACAAGTCTAATGGAAGATATTAATAATAGAAGAACCTGGGTGTGATCTACAAAGGAAGTCAGAACAATTTTCACAGTTTCTCTGTAAATCTAAAACGTAGTCATGCATTGCTTAATAAAGGGAATATGTTCTCAGATATGTCATTAAGCAATTTTGTCATGAGAACATCATAGAATGTACTTACACAAACCTAGATGTCATAGTCCACTATATACCTAGGCTATACAGGCATAGCCTATTGCACCTGTGCTACAAACCTGTATAGCGTGTTCTTGTAGTGAATACTGTTAGCAATTGTAACACAATAGTAAGTATTTGTGTATCTAATCTTATTTAAGCATAGAAAAGGTAATGTGTTGCATTACAACATTGCAACAGCTATGTCAGTGTGTGATATGAATATTTCAGTTCAATTATAATCTGATGGGACCACTGTCATATATGCAGACTGCCATTGACCAAAACATCATTATGCAGCACATGACGAAAAAATGTAGTCAAACTTTATTTTGCAAAAATACAAGATATTGTAAAAAATAAAGTTTATTTTTTAAAGAACCAGTTTATTAATGTGCTGTGAGTGAAATGATATCTCACTGTTGTTTCATTACGTATTGTCAGGATTGTGTGTAAAATTCAACCTCTTTTCACATAATTATTTTGAGAGCATTTTGAATTCTTTAATTTTGTGTTTGATTATATTCTCTCCATATTTTTGTGTGTTTTTTTTTAAGCTTGTTGCTTTGATGAAATTCTGCAATATATTTTGGTTAAAAAGTCTTGGTTAATTACATGCTTTGAAACATCTTTCCTTAATTGTTTGCTTATATTTTAATATTATTTATTTCATTTTCCTTGTTCAGAAAAAACTAAAGTATATATAACATTTTAATCTTCATTTTAATCCTTGTATTTTCATTTTATTTCTAGTCTATGCAATATCACAATAATAGTATCTTATTTGCTAGATGTTATTTGAGAGTTTTTCTTTAAATATTTATGTCCTAAATTGATATGGTTTTGCTGTATCCCCACCCACGATATGGTTTTGCTGTATCCCCACCCAAATCTCATCTTGATCTGTAGTTCCCATAGTCGCTACAAGTCGTAGGAGGAACCTGGTGGGAGGTAATTGAAACTAGGGGGTGGTTACCTCCATGCTGTCCTCATCATAGTGAGTGACTTCTCATGAGGTCTGATGGTTTTATAACGGGCTTTTCCCCCTTCTGCTTGGTGCTTCTCCTTCTTGCTGCCATGTGAAGAAGGACGTGTTTGCTTCCCCTTCTGCCATGATTGTAAGTTTATTGAGGCCTCCCAGTCATGCTTAACAGTGAGTCCATTAAACCTCTTTCCTTTGTAAATTACCCAGTCTCAGGTATGTCTTTATTAGCAGCATAAGAATGAACTAATACAGTAAATTGGTACTGGGTAGTGGGACACTGTTGTAGAGATACCTGAAAATGCCGAAGCAACTTTGGAACTGGGTAACAGGCAAAGGTTTCAATGGTTTGGAAGGCTCAGAAGAAGACAGAAAGATATGGAAAAGTTTGAAATTTATGAGAGACTTTTTGAGTGGCTTTGACCAAAATGCTGATAGTGACATGGACAATGAAGTCCAGGCTGAGATAGTCTCAGATGGAGATGAGGAACTTGTTGGAAACTGGAATAAAGGTGACTGTTGTTATGTTTTAGGGAAGAGACTAGTGGCATTTTGCCACTGCCCTAGAGATCTGTGGAACTTTGAACTTGAGAAAGATGATTTACGATATCTAGTGGAAGAAATTTCTAAGTGGCAAGGCATTCAAGAGGAAGCATTTCATGAAAGTTTGGAAAATTTGCAGCCTGATAATGCAATAGAAAAGGGCAACCAATTTTCTGGGGAGTAAATCAAACTGGCTGCACAAATTTGCATAAGTAACGAGGAGTCAAATGATAGTCACCAAGACAATTAGGAAAAATGTCTCCAGGGCATGCCAGAGGTCTTAATGGCAGCCCCTTCCATCACAGGCCTAGAGTCATAGAAGGAAAAAATGGTTTCGTGAGCCAGATCCAGGGCATCCTGGCTGTGTGCAGCCTAGGGACTTGGTGCCCTGAATCCCACCAGATCCAGCTGTGGCTAAAAGGAGCCAAGGTACAGCTCAGTCTATGGCTTCAGAGGTTACAAACCCCAAGCCTTGGCAGCTTCCATGTGTTATTGAGCCTGGTAGTGCACAAAAGTCAATAATTGAGGTTTGGGAACCTCCACCTATGTTTCAGAGAATGTATGGAAACACCTGATTGTCCAAGCAGAAGTTTACTGCAGGGGTGGAGCCATCATAGAGAACTTCTACTAGGGCAGTGTGGAAAGGAAATGTGGGGTGGGCATCCCAACACAGAGTCCCCACTGGGGTGCTGTTTAGTGGAGCTATGAGAAGAGGGACACTGGTCTCCAGACCCCAGAATGGTATATTCACCAACAGCTTGCACTGTGCACCTGGAAAACCCACAGGCACTCAACACCAGCCCATGAAGGCAGCCAGGAGGGAAGCTGTATCCTGCAAAACCACAGGGGTGGAGCTACCCAAGGCCGTGCAAGCCCACCTTTGGGTCAGTGTGACCTGGATGTGATACATGGAGACAAAGGAGATTATTTCAGAGTTTTAAGATTTGACTGCCCTGCTGGATGTTGGACTTGTATGTGACTTGTAGCCCCTTGGTTTTGGTCAACTTCCCCCAATTGGAATGGGTGTATTTACCCAATGCCTGTACCCCCATTGTATCTAGGAAGTAACAACTTGCTATTGACTTTACAGTCAAGACTCATAGACAGAAGGGACTTGTCTGGTCTCAAATTGGACTTTGGAGTTGGACTTTTGGGTTAATGATGGAGTGAACTGAGACTTTTGGGGACTGCTTGAAAGACATGATTGTGTTTCGAAATGTAAGAACTTGAGATTTGGGAGGAGTCAGGGGTGGAATGATATGGTTTGGTTCTGTGTCCCCACCCAAATCTCATCTTGTAGTTCCCATAATTAATCCCCACGTGTTGTGGGAGGGGCCTGGTGGGAGATAAATTAATCATGAGTGCTGTTACCTCTATGCTGTTCTTGTGATAGTGAGTGAATTCTCATGAGATCTGATGGTTTCATAAGGGACTTTACCCCTTTGCTCAGCATTTCTCCTTCATGTCTCCATGTGAAAAAGGATGTGTTTGTTTCCTCTTCAGCCATGATTGTAAGTTTCCTGAGTCCTCCTCAACCATGCTGAGCTGTGAGTCAATTAAACATCTTTCCTTTATAAATTACCCAGCCTTGGGTATGTCTTTATTGATAGCCTAACAGCGTGAGAGTGGACTAATACGGTAAACTTATTTGGGAATTTTCTCTCATGTGGTGTGATGGAATCATACCTTACTTTTTTCTTATGAATAGCTACATTTTTAATAAGGTTTATTGAATTGATATACCCATGGATTTGTAATGTTTTTCTAACAAATAGGAGTTTCACAGTTTAAAATGACTTAGTTTCATACTTTTTATGCTCTCTGTTTTGTTGTCCACTATTTTACCAATGTTATAGCATAATCATAGCTCTATCTTATAGAAAAAATTTCTTGCCTTATCTTAAAAAGTATGATTATATTCCCTTTCCTTAATTTATCACTTAACTTTACAAAAGTTTAGGTATTTATAGGCTCACCTGCTTGCTATTCTGTTTGAACCACTGGAATGAACAAGAATATTTACCCTTAAATCTCATTTCCATTTTCAGACTGACCACCTTTAATGACTGTGGATGACTATGCTTGGTTTAAGATAAATATGGCTATGTCATTTTTTTGACACGTATTTCATCATGATATGATTTTGTGATTAGTTCATTTTAAATGAATTCAGTGCTGCACCATACTATTTATGTATCTTTGGGAAAATGCTAGTGATGAATTTCAAATAACTAAAGTTTGTCCTTGTGAAATCATCAAAAATCAGCTGCATGAAGGAATTCATCCTGTAACTTTTAAAAGTCATGATGCAGACTTTAAGAATCTTGTCTATAAAGCCAACAAGATTCACAGAAATCAGAGATATACTCTGATTAGACTCTGATATATATATATATATGTTATACTCTGATATACATATATCAAAAACCTGAGTGTGTGTGTATATATTTATATGCACACACTTGGGTTTTTTAGTAGTTTTGTTCTTTCAGAAAAGTTTCAAATGTTATCAGCCCAAAATTACATATATAAACATTTTTGTGTGCATATATGTATGTATGTGTTTGTGTATATGTGCATATACACGCACATACTTTGGGAGACATATGATGACAATAAGCTTTTAAATTATAAAATGAATAATTTGTAAAATCATATCACATTCTCTTGGGGGCAGAAATTTTTTCAGCATTGTAAAATATTAATGTTTGAGTGTTCTTGATTTTAAAGATGGAAATATAATGTGAATATTCATATTTAAAAATGTTTTAAATATATTATTTTCTTAAAATTCTCAGTGAAAGAAAATGTAATGAGCAAGGGTGACTGAGTGCCTCATGTATATATAACTCTGTCATTTCTGTGCAGACATTTTCTCTGTTTTACGAATTATGTTGCAAGCTCTTCCATTGTAAAATGAATATAATAATATCCAAATTTAGTAAAACGAAATTCTGTTATATTTTAATGCATCAATATTTTATTTTTGTTTCTCACAATTTCTTAAGGCTTTTTGATAAACCTAAATTTTTTAAAAAGATTAATATTTTATCTACATTGATGCATTACTTGTTTCTTAAGCATATTCATAGTATTCTAATATTTCAAAATAGGCAGATGAGTTGAGAATATGATATCAGCATTTAAACAGCATGTATTTGTTTGTTGTATTGATTTACAAAAGGAAGCAGATACATTTTCTGGTACACATATTTCATTCACAAAACAGTTTCTAAAGAAGATGTGATTAATAACAATAAGTAAAACAATGCTTTCCAGTGTCTTTTATATCTTGAAATATTCTTCACTTACCAGGAATAAACAAAAGATATGCTGTTGGCAAGGCACATATAATCACGTAGGGTAGACATCCAAGTTTTTCTCTAAAGAAAACCATTTACATTAAGAAAGGACAGTAAAATTAAGTCAAGGGGTTCTAACTGGGACCCATAAAGGTGCACCAAGCTTTTGGAGGGAACCTAGTGTTGAACTTTAGGAAAATGTGTTAATATTGTGAAATTGCACACAAAATCTTGTGTGACTGTTCCATTTTTTAAAAAATCTTTATTTTAAGTTTAGTGATACGTGTGCATGTTTGTTATACAGATAAACTCATGTCACAGGACTTTGTTGTACAGATTATTTTACCACCCAGGTATTCAACCTAGTATCAATTAGTTATTTCCGATAATCCTCTCCTTCCTCCCACCCTCTACCCTCCGGTAGGCCCCAGTGTTTGTTGTCCCCCTCTATGTTTCCATGTGTTCTCATCATTTCATTCCCATTTATAAGTGAGAACATGCAGTATTTTGTTTTCTGTTCCTGCCTCAGTTCACTAAGAATGATGACCTTCATCTTCATTCATGTTCCTGCAAAGAGCATGATCACCTTTTTTTTTATTGCTACAAAGTGTTCCATGGTATATATGTATCACGTTTTATTTATTCCAGTCTACCATTGACGGGTATTTAGGTTGATTCCATGTCTTTGCTATTGTGAATAGTGCTGCAGTGAACATATTTGTGCATGTGTCTTTATGATAGAATGATTTATATTTCTTTGAGTATATACACAGTAATGTGGTTCCTGGGTCAAATGGTGGGTATGGTTTTAGGTCTTTGAGGAATCACCACACTGCTTTCCACAGCATACATCACAGAACTAGAAAAATCTATTTTTAAATTCATATGTAACCAAAAAAAAAAAAAAAAAAACAGAATAGCCAAGACAATCCTAAGCAAAAAGAACAATGCTATAGGCATCATGCTACCTGACTTTATACTACAGGGCTGTAGTAATCAAAACAGCATGGTACCGGTACAAAACCAGATGCATAGACCAATGGAACAAATTAAAGAACCCAGAAATAAGGCTGCACAACTACAACCATCTGATCTCTGACAAAGCTGACAAAAAGAAACAATAGAGCAAGGACACCTTATTCAATAAATGGTGCTAGGTTAACTGGCTAGCCATATGCGCAAGACTGAAGCTGGGCCCCTTTCTTACACCATATAAAAAATCAACTCAAGATGGATTAAAGACTTTAATGTAAAATGCCAAACAATAAAAACCCTGGAAGACAACCTAGGCAACACCATTCTGGACATAGCAATGGGCAAAGATTTCATGACGAAGATGCCAAAAGCAATTACAACAAAAGCAAAAATAGACAAACGGGATCTCATCAAACTAAAGAGCTTCTATACAGCAAAAGAAATTGTCAACAGAGTAAACAGACAACCTACAGAATGGGAGAACATTTTTCCACACAATGCATCTGACAAAGGGCTAATATCCAGCATCTATAAGAAATTTAACAAATCAATAAGCAAAGAACAAATAACCTCATTAAAAAGTGGGCAAAGGATGTGAACAGACACTTTTCAAAAGAAGACAGATATGCAGTCAAGAATCATATGAAAAAATGCTCAACATCACTAATCATTAGGGAAATGCAAACAAAAACCTCAATGAGATATCATTTTACATCCCTCACAATGGCTGTTATTAAAAGTAAAAAACAATAACAGATGCTGGCAAGGATATGGAGAAAAGGAAATGCTTATACACTGCAGGGAGAAGGTAAATTAGTGCAGCCGTTGCAGAAAGCAGTTTGGTGATTCCTCAAAGAACTTAACACAGAATTACCATTTGACTGAGGAATCCCACTATTGGGTACATAGCCAAAGGAATTTAAATCATTCTATTTTAAGACATGCATTTGTGTATGCATCACAGCATTATTCACATTAACAAAGACACAGAATCAACTTAGATGCCCCTCAACAGTAGACTGAATAAATAAAATCTACATATTCATCCTGGAATACACGGCCATTAAAAAGAATGAGATCATGTCCTTTGCAGCAACATGGATAAAGCTGGAGGCCATCATCCTAAGCAAACTAAGCCAGGGACAGAAAACCAAGTATGGAATGTTTTCACATATAAGTGGCAGCAAAACCTTAAGTACACATGGACTCAAAGAAGGGAACTATTGCCACCAGGATCTACTTGAGTGTGAAGGGTGGAAGGGTGGCAAAGCTTAAAAACTACCTATCGGGCACTATGCTTACTACCTAGGTGACAAAATTATCTGTACACCAAACCCCTGTGACATGCAATTTAGCTACATAACAAACCTGCAAATGAACCCCTAAACCTAAAATAAATGCTTTAAAATAAACAACTTTTGGTTTCATTTATCTTTTGCATTTTTTTGGCATCTCAATTTCATTCATTTTGGCTCTAATTTTGGTTCTTTTCTTCTGCTAGCTTTGGAATTGATTTGTGTTATTTCTTTGAGTTCCTTTAAGTGTGATGTCAGGTTGTTCATTCGAGATCTTTCTAACTTTTTGATGTAAGTGTTTAGTGCTGTAATCTCTCCTGTTAACATTGCTTTAGCTGTGTACCAGAGATTCTGGTATGCTGTGTCTTTGTTTTCATTAGTTTCAAAGAAGTTCTTGATTTCTGCATTAATTTCATTGTTTACTCAGGAGTTATTCAGGGGCAGGTTGTTTAATTTCCGTGTAATTGCACCATTTTCAGAGATCTTTGTACTAATTTCTTTTTTTATTGTAATGTGGTCTGAGAGTGTGGCTGGCATGATTTTGGTGTTTTTGATTTTGTTGAAAGAATTGTTTTATGGCTGAGCATGTGCTCAATTTTAGTGTATGTGCCATCTGCAGATGTGAAGAATGTATATTCTGTTGTTGTTGGTTGGAATGTTCTGTAGATATCCATTAGGTCTATTTGGTCAAGTTTTGAGTTTAGGTCCCAAATACCTTTGTTAGTTTTCTGCCTTAATGATCTGTCAAATGCCATCAGTGGGGTATTTAAGTCTGTCACTATTATTGTGATTATCTCAGTCTCTTCACAGGTCTTTAGGAACTTCTTTTTTGAATCTGGGTGCTGTAGTGTTGACTGCATATATATTTATGATAGTTGTCTTCTTTTTGAATTATTTTAATTGTGTAATGTCCTTCTTTGTCCTTTTTGATTATTGTTCATTTAAAATCTGTTTTATCTGAAATAAGCATAGCAATCCCTGCTCTTTTATGTTTCCCATTTGCTTAGTAGATTTTTTTCTCCATCCCTTTACTTTGAACCTATGGATGTCATTGCATGTGAGAATGGTCTCTGAAAAACAGTAGATAGTTGGGTCTTGTTTCTTTATTCAACTTGCCACTGTGCCTTGTATGTGGGACATTAAGCCCATTTATAGTCAAGGTTAATATTGATATGTGTGATTTGATCCTGTCATTGTGTTGTTAGCTGGTTATTATGCAGACTTGATTGTATAGTTGCTTTATTGTATAATTGTATATTGTATGTAATTGTGTTTTTTCAGTGTCTGGTGATGGTCTTTCATTCCCAAGTTCAGTGATTCCTTAAAGACCTCTTGAAAGGTGTACCTGGTGGTAATAAATCCCCTTAGTGTCTGTTCATATACAAAAGGTTTTATTTCTTGTTTGTATATGAAGCTTAGTTTGTCTGTATGTAAAATTATTGTACAGAATTTATTTTCTTTAAGGATGCTGAATATAGACCCCCAATACCTTCTGGCTTTTAGGGTTTCTGCTGAAAGTTCTGCTGTTAGCCTGATGGTGCTATTTTTGGAGGTGACCTGCCCCTTCTTATTAGCTGCTTTTAATACATTTTCTTTTACCTTGACCTTGGAGAATCTGATGAATTTCTGTTCTGAAGATTATTGTCTTACCTCCTATCTCATATGTGTTCTTCAAATATTTTGAATTTGTATGTTGACCTCTCTAGCAAGTTTCAGGAATTTTTTTTTTACGGAAAATACCCTCAAATATGTTTTCCATTTTGCTTGTTCTCTCTCCCTCTCAAGGAAGCGAATGTGTCATTGATTTGCTCTCTTTACATAATCTCATGTTTCTCAGACTTTTTATTCATTCTTTAATATTCTTTTTTCTTTATTTTTATCTGACTGATTTGATTTGAGGAAACAGTCTTCAAGCTCTGAGATTCTTTCCTCAGCTTGATCACTTTTGCTGTGAATATTTTTGATTATACTATGAAATTCTTGTAGTTATGTAATTCCTGTACTAAGTTTTTCAGCTCTTGTACTGAGCTAAACTTTTACTAAGTTTATCAGATCGGTTTGATTCCTTCTTAAAATAGCTATTTTATCTTTGAGCTTTTGCATAATTTTATTGGATTCCTTATTTTCCTTAGATTGTGTTTCAACTTTCTCCTGAATCTCAATAATCTTAATTGCCATTCAGATTCTAAATTCTGTGTCTGTTATTCCAGACATTTCAGTCTGGTTAAGAATCATTTCTGGGGAGCTAGTGCAGTCATTTGGGGGTAAGAAGACACTTTGGCTTTTTGCATTGCTAGAGTTTTTGCACTAGTTCTTTCTGATCTGTGGTTTTTTAAAGCCACTCTCCTGCAGGTGAGGCTTTTTGATTTTACATTCATAGGTACCCTTGGGGGTTTGACTGTAGTATAAGTTGGTTTCAGTCAACTGGTTTTATTTCTGGACAATATCAGGGAAGCAAGGCTCAGCTCTGCAGTCCTAGGCTGCATGCTCTAAGCCTGGGGTGTGGGACCAAGCCCATGACATTGTTGTGTGGCCACTCAAGGTTTATCACCTGCTACTGAAAGAGGTGAAGTGTTCCCAGTCAACTGGCAACAACACTGTGACAGAGATGCTGGCAAAAGCACTTTGTTTTGGCAGCAGTGGGGTCTGCACTTGCACATAGCAGAGGCAGCAGGATGGTAGGGTCGTTGGGTCCACACATGTGTGCACACCAACAAAATGGTGGGGGGATGCTGCAGGCAAGTGTGTGCCTACACAGCAGTGCGGGGAGACAGCAAGCAGGTGCATACTAGAAGGAACCTGTTTGCAGAAGCTCTCTGATGCTTAGGTGGGATTTGCAGGTGAAGGAGCTATGGCAGTGGCCACTGAGAAGTGCCCCAGTTGGGCATCTGAGGCTTTGCCATAAGTGGGTGTGGTCAGGCAGGAACCCTGGGAGAGGCCAGCAAGCAGGGGTGAAGTCAGATCAGACTGATCCCATTCCACTGGCAAGATTGCCCTGTTCGGTCCCTGTACAGGTCCGATAGTCAATAAATCCCAAAACCACCTACAGCAGGGCATAACTGATCACACTTCATTGCTGCTGTTCCCAGGCCAAACCCTCTAGGCTCCACACAGTCTGGAGTCCTGTCCTTGCCAACTCTTCAAACAGCTCTTCCTGCCAGCTCAAATGTCCATGAGGGTTGTGAGGTCTGTTGAAGCTAGAATTCTGCTGGTCTGTAGTGACCAGCAGTGAGAGTGGGTCACTTTATTTCTATTTAAATCAGCCCATCCTTAGGAGCCACTTTGGGCCTGGAATGAGTCCTGGTTCTTGGTAACACCATGTGGGGATCTCAGCTTCCTCACCCTTCATCTCAGAGTCTGCATCCCCCCTCTTTCCACTTTCAATGACTTCCTTCCAAATATTTGTTCAGAGTGTGCTGGTCTACTTGACAGTCTGGTTTCTTGGTAGGAGACGCTCTTCCTGGCTGAGTCTAGTTAACTATCTTGGCTCTTCCCTCAATTGTGCACTTTCAAAAGAGTGGATTTTATGCCATATGAATTATATCTCAATTTTTTAAATCCTCAGTCTCCCAGGTACCTTGCATGATGAGCATCAAAACTTCACTTGTTGTGGGTCAGGGCCACTGTAGCTCCATTCCCAAGTTTGCATTCCAGATCTGGAGCTGGAGTGAGAGTTCCTGAGGTCAGACTGGTCTTTAGGCAAGGTTTCATTCTTCAGAAGGAGCATATTGAGTAAGGGGCTATGAATTTTTAATTTGTTCATCATGTGTCTCTTCAATATTATATCCTAAGTTCCCAGAGAGGAATGAATGAATAAATGAACATATTTCATTTGTAAAATATTGGCGATTTAAAGCATCATAAATAGATAACATTTAAAAATAATTTTAAAATAAAAATTTTCATTCACCTGGACATTAATATAAATATAAATATGACATATTGATACAAATATTTGTACAACCAGAACCTAAAAGTATGTTATAGGATGTTCATCCAAAGTTTGCTTAATGAATACATCAATGAATGATCCAGGGAACTTATAATTAAGAATTTATATTAATTTATTATTATTTAACCTATATGTGAAAATTGCTGGCTATTTTAAGAATATAGGAATATTTCTTTAAACAATCGATCTGTGATTATCCTGTACACCATCTGAAGGAAAAGCAGGTATGAGAAAGATAATAGTCTCATAGGCCATATTTTATTAATCCTTAAAACCATCTCTCAATGATACCTGGAGGAAACTGCATTTAAGTCTCAGATTATTAGGAAGTAAATGTGCTTTGCAGTGGAGTTACAAAGTGCACACTAGCCTTGGACATTGGTCTAGTCAAAAAGGAGAGTTGGGAGGGGAGAAGAAAAAAGAGGGATGGTATTAACATTTGTATTCAATGAGGAAAGAAAGGTAAATTTACCCTAAAGAGGCACAAGTTCTGGAAAGGTGAATGTCATTGTATTTTATGTTCCCCTCAAAACATATTTAAGGAAATAATTATGTCCATTGGTGCCTATTTGTCTACTACATAATAACAAAACTGCTTCTTTAGGCCATCGAACTCTTTCTTTATTATGCTCATCAGGGTGACTTTTTATTAATATAATGCTCACTGACTGCTATGTTACTAACAAAAATATTGAGATAGTAATGTTTTTAACTTTTGTTAGAGAAATGTTTACTTTAAAGCAATTGACATTACTTTTCATTGTTTCAGAATTATGTACTGCCAGATAAATAAGCAGTATTTTACACTTTGATGTCAGATGTCTGTGTAAGTCTGTATACAGATATTAAGAGAGATAAATACTACACAATTAATGTCAAAGAAATTCTTCTAATCAAGGAAGCAATAATTAATATGTCTATATGGGTGCACTAAATCTTAGACAATGGCCTTTTGCAGCTAATTTACATATCTATGGTAAAATAAGCACATTTAAAATTTGTAAATATGTAGTTTCTTTCCTCACATATAATAAAGAATAATTTTGTTGAATAAAATGAATTTTGAGGTCATTAAACAAAATGGTAGTTACTAGAGTTGTTATAATATCCACACAATGATTCGCAGTAATTGTGTGAAAGCAGTTCTTAAATTATTAATGTAGTGATGAACAAGATATAAATGACCAGGAAAACATTCTCATAATAGAGGTAACACAATGACAATATTAAACACTGTTTGGAAAACTTTCTAGTAAAGCTATTTCTTGTAAGAGTCTAATTCTCTCTTTGTACAGGGTAAAACTTTATAGTCTTGCAATGAACCATTTTATTTTATTTTCATTATCAAGTGCCTTAGTCTGTTTGAGCTGCTGTGATATTATATCATAAACTGGGTGGCTTATGAACAACAGAAATCTATTTCTTACAGTTCTAGAGGCTGGGAAGTCCAAGATCAAGGTGCCAGCAGATCTGTTGTCTGGTGAGGGCCTGCACTCTACTTTATAGATAATGAGCTATGTGCTGTATGCTCACATGGCGAAATGGGAAAACAAGCTTCCATGGGTCTCTTGTCTGAACTAATCCCAGTCTTGAGGACTCTGCTTGCTTTCATGACCTAATCACAACCTAAAGTCTCCATCTCTTAAGAGTATAATTGGGGGATTATATTTCAATATATACATTTTGGGGGGACACAAACATTCAGAAAATAGCATCAGGGAAACTCTGTTTCAAATTTGAACAAACAAACTTCCTAATAGAATTTGAAATCCAATCTATAGACGAATTGTAGTCTGCAAACAGATACACACACATTCAGTTATACATTTTTGTGTGAAATAAATTCTAGATCTATGTCATATCAGAGAAATTGGAGGTTCCATTTAAGTGAAATTATTGTGAAATCATAATTTGTTCCATTAATCCTAACAACTTTACTCTAATATATGAAATGAAATACGTTACAATTTTGTGTTCTCACCCAGTATTGTTAATTATAATCATTTTTCTATCAGGATGCATTGCTAAAATTTTCTTCTGCTAAAATACAGTGTTTACTTAGAAAATATTAAAATAATATTAAATAATTATCATCTATTTTTACTTTCTGAGCTATAAAATTCTCCTATTATAAATTCCCTGTTGGGTCAAATAAATTTAATTTTGTTGCCTAGACATCCCTTTATTAGGAATGTTCTTGATTTTAAGAAACTACACCTAAAATCTACTTCGTTACTTTTTGAAGGGCATTTACTGCAAAAGTAAGGTACAGATGCATTAAAATACATCCAAACTGAAGGCAGTAACTATGAGTGAAGGCTTGAGAAACAATTTATCATTAAAATATTTCTGCTTCATTGTATGAATATATCTAAATTCCAATTTTTATTTCAGTGAAGTGGCAATAAGGACACCTACCTTTTTGATATTCATGGTTTTCATGGAGTAACAACAGGATGTGTAAATCAGGCAAAACTTTATTTTGTAACAAATACGTATTCAATATAAGAATAATTAAAATGAATGAACTTATCTTTGCTATTTTAGGTTTTGTGTTTTTTTCTGCTCTGTTTTGTTTTCTAGCTTCTCAGTTGTATTATAACTGACTGTAAAATGAATCATCATCTCACAATCAAATAAGTTCTCTGTAGAAATCTCCTTGGGAATTATATTCTGTTTTCAGTGCTAAGTTCGAAAACATAAAATAGGCAAAATTTTCCATGAAACTAAGTATGCAAATTAAAGTATAAGTGATTTTAAATAATCAAAACTAAAAACTAATATTTATGGACATAAAAGCGCTGGTTAAAATTCTATATTATTTAATATTCCATAGAAGAATGAATTAATTCTAATTATTTTCTACTAATTTTTAAAATAATTTACATGTGTAAATTTGAGTTTCCTTACCAGAAACAACATATCAACTGCAAGCCAATGAATTCTTTTTCTTTCAATCTTCACATTTAAGTTCTAAACAAGATAATTCATTGGTACATTTGTGTAAATTTTACATATTTTTCACCTTTTAATTGTCTAATGCATCCAAATATTATTATGTGTCTGTCCTTCAAACATATTGATTGAATTGGTAGAATCTGGTATAAGGAAGAAAAGCTTGAATGAGGGAATAATTTTATATTTAAAGTTTATGATTTAATCTTATTTTTCTAAATAGATTTGTCATTCTGAAGTTCGCAATGTTTCACGAAACAAAGAAGTTTTTAAGAAACCTTTTGACATAATCAAGAATGTATCCAAAATAGGTGGAAAAAAATATTTTCAAAATAATACTGTTTTTAGAAATTACAATGTGGGATCTATGTAGCATACAAAACACCAAAATAAATCTATGTGGATTTAGAATTTAAATTTCACAATAATGATAAAATATTACACATATATGTATGTCCATGTGTATGTGTATGTATCTGGGGGAAAATTAGCCATAAAAATTACATCAATAAGGAATGCCAGAAAAATACCTTGATACTTGACTCCATAAAATTCCAACTGTTTAACAAAAGTAAAATAGTGACATAAACCCAATAATTATTTAAAAGGCAAAAGCTGAAATGTTTACATATTTTCACTTTTAAATTCCTAAATATGCACACATAAACACATATGTTAACCGAAACAAAGGTCTTAAAAATACAATATACAATGTACATGGAAATTACCTACATATTTAAAAATATGGGCACCATTATTGAATGATCACAGTTATCATCTTTTCCAGAAAAATAATGGAATGTGATAAAAAATTAAATTCTTAGAAATGGTTATGGTATTGCAAAGAAGCTATGTTTCAACTTAAACATTTTGACTTAGATATTTGACAGGGGAGGTTTTTGATATGACATCTTAAACTGTTTCTAAAATTGCCAAAAGACATTTTATTTTATTTCTTACCAAAAAATATATGGACCTCATTTTATTGATTCATATTATTTGAGAGCTTTTTGTCATTAGTCTATTAATAGATTATAGCAATTGACTCTTAAATATAAACCAGCCTTGCATCTCTGATATAAACCACACTGGATCACGGAATAAAATTATTTTCATTTATTTATGAATTATAGTTTTGAGCATTTTGCTATGAACTTTACATCTACATTTATGACATATATTGGCATGCATATTTGTCTTTTTTGATTTTAATATCAGAATAATATTAGTTTTATGAAATATGTTGTGATATGTCCTGGAAAACACTACGTGGAATTGGTGTAAATTCTTTGTTAAATGTTTCATAAAATTCTCCAGGAAAATCATCTGTTCTGGAGATTTTGGGGAAGAGTTCTTTAATTAGAAATTTAATATTCTTAGCAGAATAGGGCTAATCAAATTATCTATTTTATTTGAGAGAATTGCGTTTTTGAGAAATTGATTTTTGTTTGTTGTCTAATTTATGTGTGTATTTTTATTCCTAGTAATCCCTTATTATATTTCTGATGTCTCCATCAGATCTTTGAAAGTCCTCTGTGATATCTCTTGTTATATCTATGATATTAGTAATTTGCAACTTCTCTATTTTTTGGACAACATTGCCAAACATTCATCAATTTTTATTAATCTTTTCAGTTAATCCACTTTTTGTTCATTGATTTCTCTATTTTTTTCTGTTTTCAATTTCATTGATTTCTGTTGTTTAATATGGTCTTACTTCTTGTTTGGGGTTTATTTTGTTCTAGGTATGCTATGTTCTTGACGAAAGATTTTTGAGTATAGATTTTTTAATTTTTATTTTTATAGAATATTTTTTTAATTGACATATAATGATTGTGCATATTTGTGAGATACAGAGAGATATTTTGATACATGTAGGCATTGTGGAAAAATTAAATCAGGGTATTTAGGATATCCATCACCTCATACATTTATCACTTCTTTGTGGTGAGAACATTTACAATTCTTACTTCTAGCTATTTTGATATATACAATATAATATTCTTAACCATAGTAATTCTACTGTGCAATAGAACATCAGAACTTATTCCTCCTATCTGTAATTTTGTACCTGTTGCCTAAATTCAAATGCCCATCAATGATAGAATGGATTTCAAAAAAATATGGTACATATACATCATAGAATACTATGCAGCCATAAAAAAGAAAGAGATCATGTCCTTTGCGGGAACATGGATGGAGCTAACACAGGAACGGTTAACCAAACACCGGATGTTCTCACTTACAAGTGGGAGCTGAATTATGAGAATACATAGACACATGGAGGTGAACAACATACACTAGGGTCTGTTGGGGATGGAATTGGGAGAGGAAGAGCATCAGGAAAAATAGCTAATGGATACTGGGCTTAATACTTAGGTGATGGGATGATCTGTGCAGGAAACCACCATGGCACACATTTACCTATGTAACAAACCAGCACATCCTACACGTGTACCCCTGAAGTTAAAAGTTAAAGAAAAATAAAATAAAATAAATCAAAATCAATAATTCACATTTTTTACACGAAGTAGAAAAGGAAGACATACTGTCCAATCACTCTATAAACTTGTATTATCCTGACACCCAAACCAGATAAAGACATTATAGAAAAAAATTTCCTTGTGAATATAGATGTAAATATTCTCAAAAATGCTAGTAAACCAAATCCAGTTTCATATCAAAAGAATTACATGCTGTGACTAATGTGATTTCTCTTAGAAGTTCAAGCTTGTTTTAACATCTGAAAATCACTTAATATAATAAACCATATTAATATCATAAGGGTAAAAAAACACATGATCATCTCAATAGACACAGAAAAAGCTATTTAAAATATCAAATATGCTTACATAATAAAGACACTGAACAAACTAAGAATAGAATGGAATGTGCACAGTCTGATATAAGGCATCTACAAACCACCTTTTAATTAATATCATACTTATGGTGAAAGATTGGACTCTCATGCACTGTTGGTGTGAGTGTAAAATGGTGCAGACACTTTGGAAAAGAGGCTGGCAGTTCCACAGAGGTTAATCATAGAATTACCACATGACCCCTTCATTTCATTTCTGCATATATATTCAAGGGAAATGAAAACATGATTAACATAAAAACATGAATGCTTTAGAAACATTGTTTATAATATTCTACAGGTGGAAACAACACAAATACCCAGCAACTAATGAATGAATAAATAAAATATACAGCCATACAAATTAATGTTAGTAATGCAACTGAATAATATATTAATGTATGCTACAACATCAATGGACCTTGAAAACATTATGCTAAGATAAAGAAGACAGTCACAAAAAACACCTATTTTACTATTTCCTTTACATAAAATGTCTAGAATAAATAATTGACATGACTGCTAATGTATGAGGATTCCTTTTTCTTTTTGAGATAATGAAAACAATCTGACATAGATGATCATGATTGCTTTACAACTCTTAGAGTATACCATTGAATTCTGAAGAAAATAAAAATTAACATTTTTGAGCCCAATCTCAAACATTCTGAAATGGAAACACTGGGGATAGGGCCAAGAAGGCTTCCAGGTGATTCAGATAGGCGCATGTTAACATTTGAAAAACATGGAGTAAAACATGAATAAGACACTTGGGAACAGGAGGTTCAGTAAGAAGACTGTAAAGAAAAACAGACAGCAAGAGAGAGTAGGGGAGTCATCTAAATGTGAAAGCACAGGAAAAATACTCGGAAATATCTCCTTCCAAGTTCCTTAGTGCTGTTTTATTTGATAAGTGATCTTCCTTGCTAAGTGACTTAGTGTCTATGATTATAATTCTTTATGAAATAAAATTTGGCTTTTCCTACTTTAATAATTATAAATCCTGCTCATATATCAGAATCACATGTATAGGAGCCTTTTAAAAGGTTGATCAACTGAGTCCATGAACCCAGAACATCAGATGAAATTGATTTGGAATATACCTTTGTATATTCCAAATACACTGAGTATGGAAATATTTTAAAGCTACCCACATTATTATAATGCAGAGCCAATGTTGAGAACGATTTCTGTCAGGGAGTGATAGCTGGGATGCTGAGATTCTTTTTTTTTTTTTTCTTCCTTGGTTAGCCACAGCCTTACAACATACACCTAATTATGTGGAGTCAAATTATGACCCAACGACTGATTGTAGAAAGGAATTGCATGTACCAAACCCCAAATATGAGATATTTTGAATTATTTTGAGTATTGTGATTATATGCAAGGATATGTTATTCTCCTACAAATCATGAGATGGAGTACCATTGTCTAATGCTATTAATGCATTTAATCTGCCATTTAAGCCTTTGCCAGATTTCTGTTTTGTTCACCATAGCATGTTATGTACCAGACCTTGTTCCAGGAACTGGGAATACCAGACACAGACTCTGCTCTGCTGGAGCTTAATCTTTTTGAGGCTCAAATTGCAATACTTACTAAAGGTCAGATAGGCATCTTGGTGGCCACTAAAATAAAGCAATAATTAAAGAAAAGAAATCATAGTGGGGTTGAATTGTTTTTTCTAACGTCTTGTAACTTGTAATAAAAAGAAGACAAAATTTTAGCCCGGATTGTCTGGACTGATAAGGAAACACAACAACTTTCTATCTTTCTTGTTAAACTCCCTTGCAACCTGCAAATTTTGTTCTGTGATGTGTGGCAACTAAGTACAATTGAAATGCCCATGGCTAAATTTTAGTAGGAATCAAATGGAATATATTGATTATTTAAGGAGTGTTCAGACCTTGATTAAGAATGCCTGAACTCTTAGTGATGCAACAGAGCTAGAACATTGGCCCAGTAATTGCACAGTGGAGTCACCCGGGAAGTTTTAAACACTATTTATGTCTGAGTGAAACTATGGACTTTGAGGACTGGGGGAACTGGAGTTTAAAAGTTCCCCCAAGTGATAAGTATGTGCTGTCATCCATAAAAACCACTGGTCTGAATCCAAATCACTTTAAGATCCCAAATACCATGGACCTCTGTGATTTATTGGGTATTGAGCCCCAATTCCCCATGCTGGAATGAATGAAAAATCCATCGGTTTTTGACATGGTAGTTAGAACAAGTGGTAGAAATTAGCATACCTATAGAGTGAAGGCATTAAATTAAATTTGGGAAGGTAGAGTTTCCAAGTCTTTGAAACTAGACCAGAATACCAGAGCTCAGAAATCTTTATTATTACAATTAAGGCCCTTAAGAATAGTCCCTGGAACACTAGGTCTAGAGATAATACAAATCTTTTGATTCAACATTTTTGTAATAATGCCAGGGTACCAATATGCTTAGCTACAATGTGAGAATCATTGCTGGGGTTGGTGGTTAGTTAAATGAGTGTGTTGTTAAAAGTGGCCAGGCTGAGACATAGGTAGTTAAGAAGGGAAGCTCATGAGGTTTGGACACACTAGTGCAGTTATAAACACTAATTAGACTCTATCAACATATGTTTATATAGTGCCTAGTCTGTGTCAGGCAAGTTATAGAGTCTGAGCTACAGAAAGACAAAGCCCTGTCTTCCCCGTTTTGCCTATCCCCACCCCTGGAGCATGTATTCTAGATGGCAGGGTGGACAGTAAACAAGAGAAAAAAAAGAAAAAGAAAACGTATGATATCCGGCCGAGCGCGGCGGCTCATGCCTGTAACCCAGCACTTTGGGAGGCCGAGGAGGGCGGATCACCTGAGGTCAGGAGTTCCGGACTAGCCTGACCGACATAGAGAAACCCTGTCTCTACCAAAAAAATACAAAATTAGACGGGCTAGTGGTGCATGACTGTAATCCCAGCTACTTGGGAAGCTGAAGTAGGAGAATCACTTGAACCCAGGGAGCGGAGGTTGCGGTAAGCCAAGATCGCGCCATTGCACTCCAGCCTGGACAACAAGAGCAAAACTCCATCTCAAAAAAATAAATAAAAAAATAAATAAATAAAATGTATAATATCCTTTACAAATTTAAGTGCACAGAAAAAAAAATGTAGGGAAAGAATAGCATGGGGTTGCAATGTTAAAAATGCTGGCCTAGGCCAGGCGCAGTGGCCCAAGCCTGTAATCCCAGAAATTTGAGAGGCCAAGGCAGGTGGATTACAAGGTCAGGAGATCTAGACCATCCTGGTCAACATGGTGAAATCCCGTCTCTACTGAAATACAAAAAATTAGCCGGATTGGTGGCACGCCTGTAGTCCCAGCTACTCGGGAGGCTGAGGCAGGGGAATCGCTTGAACCTGGGAGGTAGAGGTTTCAGTGAGCCGAGATTGCACCACTGCACTCCAGCCTGGTGACAGACCGAGACTCCGTCTCAAAAAAAAAAAAAGAAAAAAAGCTGGCCTATAAAGGCCTCACTAAGAATGTGACATTTTAATAAATACCTCCAAGAGGCCAGAGAAAATTTTTTAACCTATCTAGAGAACATTTTATTTTTCTTAGTTTTAACTTGAAAAAAGCATGCCATCAATGTACATGGGAGAAGATTTTATAATTTATATTCTAATACATTTGCACTTCAATAAAGGTGAAATTATCCTCATAGAATTATAAAATCTCACTTGCTAATTTATGCCAAAGTCCACATGTAAGTAAACCAAACTTCTGAAATCACCTTTTATTTCAATGTATTTAAAAGATTAAATTTACATCTGCAAATTGACCTGGGTTAATTTCATTTTATAATGATGTATCTGTGTTTCTTTTAACATTACTATTTGGAAAAACTCTCACCAATCATAATACAGATGTACATGATTTCAGCTAATAAATCTTTCAAAAGATAATATTTTTCATTCTCAGAAATGCTATTAAAATCAGATGACTGATAATGGTAACAAATTTAATTTATTATGGGTATAACATTAACCATAGATTTTGACAATCTTAATTTTATATCATTATTTCAGTATCCATTAAGAACTTATACGAACTCTTTCATGTTATATAATGGAATAACATATTATTTCATGTTATAATGGAAAGTAAATATATAACAGAAAGTAAAGTTAGAATAACTGAGTATTTATGCAGATTAATACTTTCTTAATATTCAGTTTTGCCAGATAGAAACTAACATAAAAATAAATAATGTGTACTTTTTCAGAGTTTTGATGTCAGTGATTATACTTTCTAAACAGACAAATTTGAAAACAAAAATAAAGACTCTGCATTCTCTTCAACAGTAGGGTCTATACCTGGGGTCCACAGATCCATGTAAAAGCATTCAGTTGATCTGTGATTTTGAATTAGAAAATAAAACAAAGCAAGCAAGCAAACAAACAAATTATTCACACTAAGCTCTAAAATTGAGCATTTTCTTAAATTGTGATCACAGAACCCAAGTCATAATACTTTCAGAGTAGCTGTGAATATAATTAAAAGTAGAAATCTTAGATTTTTTTATTGTACTTTACATTTTCATGAATATCTCAAAATATGGTTTAAACTCATACATTTCAAAATTAGAATAGCAATTAGACCTATTACTTGATCTTATTTTTAATGTATTAATTCAAAATATACATATTAATATATCTCACTTTTTAAATTTTTTAGTAAGTGTTTTCTAACATGAAATAGGCCACCCGAATTTAACAAATGGTTATTTTTATGCTACATAAAATGGTCTCCAAGACTGACTTCACAACAGTAAAATAAAATGAAAAGTTTGGAATGGTGTGTATATTATGTTAAATTTTGTGTAAAAAGGGCAGTGAATAAATGAATATAAAAGCAAATATGTATACTTTGTATGTGAGAAGTATCCCCTAAAGACTACTAAATAAACTTGTAACACTCGGCAATTCCAAATAATTTACTAGGACTATGGGTCAGAGGCAACCAAGAAAAATCCCTTTGTAACTTATGAATTGTGGGCCTGATGTTTACATAACTTTAAAATAATACTTATAAATGTATAATTATTTAAAAAATAAAATGAGATTTTACATAGAAATAATAAAGATACAAATGGTTATGGACTGATTAAAATGAAGTTTGTGATCTTTGTGTTTATTACTTTATTATAACTTAATTTTTGGACGAACGATATGTTTCATGAAAGTGTTCAATCAATGTATGAGTCATAAAATCATAAATTATAAGATAAATTAGCTGATCTTGGAATGTTCTCTTCGTGTACTGTATTGAAATCTTCAGAGAGAGTATTCAATTCTTATATGATTTATATTCCATTCAAATTTGCCAGACTTCTATTAATGTAAAACAATGTTAGAACACTACTAACAACGCTGACTTAATTTTAAAACATCAACTAGACATGGACTGTTCTAAATAGTATTATCCATTCTCTTTGCCATCACATGGTTTTACTGCACCAGAATTAAATGACTGTAATGACTTATCATGATTTATCATCCAGAGAATGAATAAATCTATACTTTCTATTATTAATCTCATTACTCTCATGCATGACTTGACATTATAAATTATCTTGAAAAAAATGTTTCGCTCATTTTTCCTTTAGCATAATTTATTAAAATATCATTCTCATACTGAGGGAAAATGTACCTATGATTAGCAATAAACATGTATTTTTTACATCCAGGATTATTTAAATTTTTCTTAAAAATACATTTATTTTGTGTGTTACTTTTCAGTTGAACAGGAGTCCACTTTATGCATATGTTTAGGTGAGTGAAATAGTATTTTTGTGTACTAGAGGTAACCAATACATAAATGAAGAATCAGTTTACTGATTTTCATAGTTAATAATTTAGTAACAGTCTAGAAGTCTAGAAAAATGAATAATAATATTATAATTTACATTCATCATTTCAAAGAGCATAAAAAATTTTTGATATTAAAATATTATATCATTTAGATCTACTTGTTCCAGTTATGTAGTTAAAGCAATCTTAGCACGAGATTTGCTTTAATAATTATTTTTCCAACTTATTTACTATCCTAACACCAATATTTACTATAAACACAGTCTTAGCATTCATTAATATTTATTGAATTATTTTCAGTAAGGACACTATTAACCTCAAAGGTGACAGCTTGAGTTGTTAACTTGGGTTTGGCTTATTACCTAAGGCAGAATAATGCATATCTTTTGTGTGTATGTTGGTGTTAATTTAATTAAATCTTTCATTTATATATTATAATTGAATGACTGCACAATAGAGACAGAAAAAAATGTGTGAAAAAACCCACTGAGACCTTCCTTTTTATTGGGCATTCTAGTCGCAGTCCTACCCTGTATCCTGCAGTCATCATAGAAAACTAGTTAGGCTCTACAGTGGTCATCTTTCTCTTCCACAAATTAAGAGCATTCTAAATATATAAGAATCCATGTAACTGAACAATTTTATACCATACAAGTTACTTAGATTAATTATACCTCATGCTTATTAGTCCTTAATGATTTAAAATTAATGCTTAAAATAAATCTTGTTTTTTTCTTCTAAACTTTTCTAGCCTTCCCTAGGTAAAAATAAGGGATTATTTCTCAGTCACTGTAACTTTTAACTATCAGATTTTTTTCAGACAGTAGACTGGGAGAATCAACTAATAGTCACTTAGTATAATTAGGTGGCATTATGGTGAAGAACAGATCCTGGAGCCAGACTCCCTGGCTTTGATCTCAGTTCTGCCATCTACCAGCTTCATGACCTTGAGCAAGTGCTTTAATCTCACTATATTTGAATTTATCATGTATTGAGTGCAGATAACTAAAAATTTCTGTCTCATTGTTTTTAGAGAAGGATTATGTTAGATATAAAATACTTATACTATTGCTTGTCACATATCAAAAATTATAAAATTATTAGTTATTTTTATGATGATGATGATATCATTGTTGTCTTTGTCGTCATCATAAAAAATTGTAAATTCATTTTATTTACTAATATATTCTGACCACACAGAACAATGATTTGCAGGCAGCAATGACTCGGTAAATTTGTGTGTAGTAAGAACATGTATTGAGTGAATATATGACATTGTCGTTTTTCTCAGATAGTATCATTCAATTTCCAAAATCCTGTGAGTTGATATTATTTTCTTAGTGTAAAAACTAGAGGAGAGTTCAGAAAGAAAAACTCAATCAAGAGCTATATTGATATAATGCTAGGATATAATCTTAGATTTATAATTTATATAATACATTCATTCATTTTACAACAATTGTCTTCAACCTCTCAGATCCAATGTTTCCCACATTTTCATTCAATTAGGAAAGAACAGTAGGCATCAAGAGAGTTTAGCATCCAGCGTCTCCAGTTACTTGAAGCTCTACCAATGATCATATAGCTGGTTCATACAGGAACTGAATTCCCTCATGAGCTATTTCTAAAGTAAATTTCTGCAAATCATACTACTTGAGGTCTTATCCTTTCTCTTTCAAAAAGCTTGGGAAAAGTCAGAATAGTTGTAGAGGGTCTCTGTGATTGAAACACCATAATTATCTTTTCTAAGAGGAAGGAGTTTGTGATTTTTGATTTCTCCAACTCTAGCTACATTCCTGATATCCTGTTGCATGTCCCTTACCAAACATCATTCTCAGAAATGGATCAAATGTGCTTAAAATGCTAACTTTGATAGCTAACCTTAGTAAGTGAATATTTAAATTAAACTAAACATAGCTTAAAAATAAATACATTAATAATGTCATTATATTTATATAGAAATAATAGGTCTCCTAAATATCATTTTGGGTAGAATAAAATATTAGAGAAATATATATCATGAGGTATCCCTATTAATCTTATGTGGGATTTTGAGAAATAAATGCCACAGCTGATGAAAATGAAAATATGCAAAATTTGGTGAGACAGTGGATTAGGTTTCAGCTACTACATAGAAGACAATGGAAAGGTCACTCATTATTTTTTATTCAAAATATATGCTGAAATATCCAAATAATTGAGTCAACAAATTTTAGAATATAGTTTTTTATATGTTGATTCAATTAAAAGAGAAAAACCAAGCTGAACTGAGTAGATAATAGGAACATATGAAATATCATAGTTGTGAGTATGGAATTTTATTTAGTTAGCCCACAGCCCAGTAAAGTAGACATAGATATTAAACTTTACTCAATGTGGAGGGCTAAGAGAATTGGCATTGTTCAGTTAGGAAAGTGTAATTTTAGGATTGAATCATTTGCACCTCCAATATCATATGTTGATTCACAGTGAGTCCTATAAACCAAAAATAATTTGCAAAATCATAAATTTCATTTGAAAATGTAATACGTTTGACTTATGTATTTAATAGTTTAGAGGAGGATATTTATTGGTTTAAGTTGCTAGTAAATTAATAAATGGGCACTAATAAAAGGATAAAATATGCTTTAATAAAAACAGAATTTTTTTTTGACTGCAGAAATGACTGTCTTCATGATGTCAACGGTAAAACCTTGAAATAGATTATAAAAGAAATTTGTGAAATTTGATCCCTTATAGCCTTCAAAAGTAAAGAGAAAAGTATGCTTTCTGGATTTTTCTAGGCTTCTCTGGAAAGAAGGAACAAAACCAATAAAGATGTATCAAGTTCTCTTCATGAATATGAGTATTCCTTATTCCAGCAGAAATATTATAATTATAGAAACACTTCTGCAAGTTTGCTAACTATTAATTTGAAGAAAAGGGAAAACTCTCTATCTTCATTTCATTCTCAGCTTCCTACTAGATAATCATAAGGGCAGTAAAATTAAGCTTTTGAGCATCCAGACTCATGAGACAAACAAGCAGAGAGGAGTACATGCACTCTTTCTGAGGTGGCGGAGGAAACATTGCTGTCATGTAACCTACCCCAATTCCTTTTCTCTGTCCTCTTCTCCTCCTCTAAACTTAATACTGTGCAAAGCTCTGCAGAATTCTATTTTATTTCATACAAATATAAGTGACAGCAGAATAAGTTTTGTAGGATTTACCCACACTCTTTAACTACTGGTGTGGGGAAGGAATTACGACAAAAATCTTTCCTGAATTGCAACGTTTCTAGTTATTCAATAACCTTCCTCACTTGGCAGGGGAATTTTTCAAAACAGAAAGACTCAGTTGCTAAATCCAGGTAAAGATCTCTGTGAAGTGAATCCCCAATCGGAGACATTTTAAATGCTCTTTAATCTTTATAATTGAAAACTTTTTAAAAATTTTTTTCTCCTGAGAAATTATCTTCTCATATGAATTGAGAATAAATGAAATAATACATTCATTAAAATATTTTACTCTAATTCCATTTGTGTTATAAAATGACATTTAGACATATTACCCCAACATAGTACATGCCAGTGTATGCCTAAGCAATGAATAGTTATATTTCTGTCAATGCGGATCAATTCATAATTACATCTAAGAGAAGTTAAAACATCAATTTCCTAAAAGAAAAAAAAAAGTAAGTACATGTTATAAAAATACAACCAGTACAGCAAGCTCAATTGGTGCATATTTTCTAAACTTTTTTAAAAATCACATTTAAGAAAGAAGGCAACATCTGGGGGATTATCATTAGTAGTGCTACTTTTTAACCTAAAGTATATTGCAATCTGTAGTGATTAATAATCAGCTTTGCGATAACTCCTTTCTCATTTTATAATTTTAATTCCTCTTTTATAGAGAAAAAAGTTATTGGTGAACTACTTTAATATTCAGGCTTTACCCACAAGAATCTCTGGAAAGGAAATGCATTACTTATATGATACTCAAACCACTCCTATAACTAGTATATTACTTATTTCTAAAAATATATATATATATATATCAAGGTATTGGAAAAAACCAAACAGAATATTAATTCATTCAGAAAGCATATGTTTAACAATTACCAATTGCTAGCATTATACTTGTATTTATGATATTGTATTGAAAAGAAAATTGCCTCTGCTCTCAAGATGTTGAATATGCTTCTGAATTGCTTTAAATCTTCCTATTTAATTTGAAACACAAGACTGTGAAGAAATTAGCTCAACAATCCAGAAGTATGTTGAAAAAAGTTTAGCTGGATAGAGGCCAAGACATGCTTGGGACTCCCATTTCCGAGGCCCTACATGTGTCTGTCCCCCATTCTACAGAACTCTCCACTGCATGGGCATGGCTGCCTTCCATTAGAGTGACTCAAATTGGCATTCAGAGTCTTAAGTAAATGCTGGATACATACTTCTCTGACTCCTCACCCTAGACGTGTCATTTAATCTTGACCTTATTCTTTTCATCATTTTTATTAAGATAAGGAAAAATTATTTTAACTACTTTTACATAAGTAAAATAACTGTACTCTTATTAAGAAAGTACAATGTAAATCTAAAATACAACTAAAGTTATAATTTTCAGTCAGAAGATTTTAGTTGATATTTTGAATATTCTTGATATATTTCCCTCTGCAGCAAGAAATTTGCTTCTCCATAGTGCTTGCATCAAATTTAGTATAGCTATAATTTATATGTGGATACACAATAAAATAATTATCTGCATTCACTGTATAATAACCAGAATCTCAAGGTCTAATAATGAGTAAAAATCAGTCAAGCTATAAAGACAATAAAGGTTTTAATTAAGGAAACAAACAATCGTATATAAAGTATTTTAAATATCTACACACATATGAAGACTTTCCCTTTATTTAAACAAAAATGATTGGATGTTACTAGTTTAAAATATGCTTAAAACTCAGTACATAATGTGTATATATACACATATTTTATATAGCAACATACCCACTCAAGGCTAAATGAAGAACAAACTTAAAAGGAACTTATTATTGATAAAATACACATATTTTGTTCAGGACTACTAGAGGTTTAGTATCCCTTATTTGCAATTCTTAGGACCAGAAGCGTTTCATCTTTATGTTATACTGGTTAAGCATCTCTAATCCAAATATTTGAAATCCAAAATGCTTCAGTGAGCATTTTCTTTGATCATCTTGTGGGTGTTTAAGTGTTTCAGATTTTGAAGCATTTTAGATTTTGGATTTTGGTATTACAGATGCTCAACCTGTATTTATATGTGTGCCATTATTAAAGTCACATATTAGAAGAAAAATTCAGAACTGAAAAATATGTATTAGTTATTATAGATTTTTTCATTGTTGAGGCTTTAAAGTTAGCTTATCATAACTTTTACAGTTACTATACATATATATGTGTATATATATATTCACACACATACGTATACATACACAAATGTATATAATTGGTTTAGGTTATTTAATATATTTTTCTAAGGAAACTGAAACAATATCACTTGTTATAAAGTATTGAACATAAAACCGATTTCTAAAAATAATTGTAATTGCTTTTGTCAATTGAAAATATGTGATCAGATTTGGTAAGTATACAAAATGAGGCTGACTGGAGGTACAGAGCTCATATTTGACATCAAAAAGAACCTTAAGTTTCCACCATAAAATATGTTTTAGAAAACATAAAGCTAATATATTAAAACAATTTCTGGGTCCCAATATTAAAAGAAAAACTTTGATAGAAGATCATAAATCAGTGTGGCAGACAGATTCTAAAATGACCACCTGATCCTTGCCTTCTCTATTCACAATTTAGTACAGTGCCATTTTCTTCAATGTGGGTGAACGAACTTGCTTGTAATCGATAGAATGTGACAAAATTGATAGAATGTCAAACATGATTACATTACATAAGACTATCTTTCTAGCTAACTTAACATAAGACAATCTTTCTAGCTAACTTGCTTTTGAGTCTTGCTGTTTTCTGCTCTCCTGCTGTCTTTAAATTAGGAAGCTGCCATCTTGTGAACTGTCTATGGAAAAAGCTATGTAGCGGGGAACAGTGGGTAGCCTCTTGGGAGCTGAGAGTGGCCTCAATCTGACATTCTGGAAAAACCTGAAAATTTTCGTCCTAAAAATGTAAAGAAATGCATTCTCCCAATAACATTAGGGAGTTGGAAGTTGATTCTTCCCTACTCAAAATTACAGGTAAGAACAAAAACTCACTAATACTTTGATTATAGCCTTGTAAGACAATAAACAGGTGAACTTCACAACTTGTGCCTAGATTCCTGGCACACATAAATTGTGAGATAATAAATGTATATTTCTTTAAGCTGCTCAGTTTTTAGAGTTTTAGTAATTTACAACACAGTAATAAATAACTAACAAAATATTATTACCAAAAAACAAGTAGAAACAAAGTAAGAGATTTATCTGAGAATATAGGAACATATATAATATCAGTTCTAGACAATAAGGTAATTTTTTTTAAGAAAAAGAGTCCCAATGACTGTCACAAAACAGGGCATCAACCCTTACAAATACAATAATGTAGAAACGAAAATTTAGAAAAACAGTTTTACAAAGACAACTTAAATACCATAGGGGTTCTTTGGAGAAATATGCAAAATTTTGTTTAATTATTTTAATATAGTAGCTCCTTCTTATGCATGATTTCCCTTTCTTCAGTTTCAATTACTGAAACGGTAGTACAAAATATTTTGTGCAAAAAGATACTTTGTGGGATGAGAGAGAGAGAGGCAGGGAGAGAGACAGAAAGAAAGAGAGACCACATTCACATAATTTTTATTAGAGTACGTTATTTCATTTTATTATTAGTTACTGCTGTTAATCTCCTATTGTGTCTAATTTATAATTTAAATTTTATCATAAGTATCTATGTATTGGAAAAAAGTACAGTTGACTCTTGAACAATACAAGAGTAAGAGGCGCCAAACTCCCACACAGGAAAAAATTTGCATATAATTTTTGACTACCGCAAAACTTAATCACTAATAGCTTACTGTTAAATGAAAGTACCAATAACATAAACAGTAGATTCACACATATTTTATGTTATTTGTGTTACATGTTGTATTCTTAGAATAAGTAACAGAAAAGAATAAGTTATAAAGGAAAATCATAAGGGAGTCCGGAATTGATGGCTCACATCTGTAATCCCAATACTCTGGGAGGCGGGTGGATCACTTGAGGTCAGGAGTTCAGGAAGAGCCTTGCCAACATGGTGAGCCATGATTCACCACAGTACTCACTCCTGCTTGGGTGACAGAGAAAATCCGTTTCAAAAAAAAAAAAAAAAGGAACAAGAAAAAGGAAAGGGAGAGGAAATATATTCACTATTCATTAAGTGCAAATGGATCATTATAAATGCCTTCATGCTTGTAATCTTCAGATTGAGACGCTGAGAAGAAAGATAAAGAGGAGGGGGTTATCTTATTGACTCAGCACTAGCAGAGGCAGAAGAAAATCCACGTATAAGCCGACCCGCACAGTTCAAACCCATGCTTTTCTAGAATCCACTGTATACAAAAGATTTGATGCTATCCACAGCTTTAGGCATCCACTGAGGGTCTTGGACTATATCTAGATAAGGGGAGTTCTACTATATAGAAAAGGGCAAATACCAAATGCCAAATTTGTGTAGATATTCTCCTTATTTTATTCCGTCATCTCTTCTTCCTTTCATACATCCCTCCCTTTCTCTTTCCTCCCATGCCTCTTTCTCTCTGTCTCTCTCTCTTTCTCTCTCTCATGTATCTGCATTTACAAAATGTATTCTATACTAATTTATTTTAGTTTTTGCCTTCTGCCCAAAGAAAATTTTTGCAATTACAATAGTTTAGATTTCAAACAAAACTGTAGTGCTAAATGTTTAGTATGAGTTATGAAAAAAATTAAGAATATCAATTTAGTTAAATGGTTTATTCATTTATTGTGTTTATTAGTGTTTCATGGCATATATATGTGTTTATAATGTAATTATAGTAATAAAACATCAATATGTATTTATAAATAATAATATTTAAGTAAAATAAAATATAAATAATAAATAAAAGTATAATAAAAGTATAAATAAAAATATATTTATTTATAAATATATTTATTATAGTAATAAATAGACCAAAAAGACACATACACCCGTATGTTTATAGCAGTACTATTCATGATAGCAAAGTCATAGAATCAACCTAACTTTTCATGAGTGGATGACTGGATTTAAAGAACGTGATATATATATAAATGTGCTATATACATATCTATATATATGCCATGAAACACTAATAATATTTTATAACATGTGTATATATATAATAATGTATTTATTATTTCACTTTTTATTTCATCAAATATACTTTTAATGTATAATTCTGGTCATAACTATTCCTGGAAATGGATAGATGGATGTTTAAATCAATGGAGGAAAAGATAGATGAATCAATTAATTGAACCATAGATACATGTGACATCTTCCTTTCATAAAAAATTTCATAACGCAAGTGGGTAGATTTATTAATAAAAATTTCAATTTCATTTACAATAGCTACAAAAGTAAAATACATGGGAATATACTAAGCAGAGGAAGTGAAAAGTAGAAAACACTGGTGAAAGAAATTATAGATGACACAAACAATTGAAGAAACATTCCACAATCTTGGATCAGAAGAATCAATATTATTAAAATGACCACACTGCCCAAGGCATTCTACACATTCAATGCAATTCTTATCAAATTACCAACATTATTTTTCACTGAAGTAGAAAAAACAATTCTAAAATTTGTATGGAACAAAAAAGAGACTGAATAGCCAAAGAAATCCTAAGCAAAAAGAACATAGCTTAAAGCCCCATATTACCTGACTTCAAATTATACTACAAGGCGAATAACCAAAACATTATGGTATTGGTATGAAAAAAATAGACAAGTAGATCAATGAAACAGAAAGTGAAACCCAGAAATAAAGCCACATATTTACAACCAACTGATCTTTGACAAAGTGGGCAAAAAGAAATAATAAGGAAAGGACACATTATTCTGTAAATTGTGCTGGGGAAATTGTATCATATGTAGAAGAATGAATCTAAACGACTATCTCTTATCATATTCAAAATATAATTTAAGCTGGATTAAAGACTTAACTGTAAGATGTGAAACTATAAAGTCCTAGAAGAAAATATAGGAAAAACTCTTCAGGACATTGGCCTAGGCAAAGAATTTATGACTAAGACCTCAAAAGCAAATGCAACAAAAGCCAAAATAGATAATTGAGACTTAATTAAACATAAAAGCTTCTGCAGAGCCAAATAAATCATCAACAGGGTAAATAGACAACCTACAAATAGGAGAAATTATTTGCAAACTGCATCCAACAAAGGGCTAATATCCAGAATCTATAAGAAACTCAAACCACAAGTAACAAATCAACCCCATTAAAAAGTGGGCAAAGGACGTGAATTGATATTTTCCAAGAAAGGACATAAAAAAAGCCGCCAACAAACATTTTAAAAAAATGTTTAACATCAAGAATCATTAGAGAGATGCAAATCAAAACCACAGTGAGATATTATCTCACACCAGTTAGAATGACTATTATTAAAAGAAAAAAAAAACGGAGTTTGGTGAGAACAGGGAGAAAAGGCAACACTTATACACTGTTTGTGGAAATGTAAATTAGGACAATCTCTATGGAAAATAGCATGGAGAGTTCTCGAAGAATTAAAAACAGATCTACCATTTGACCCTGCAACCCACTACTGGGTATTGACCCAAAGGAAAAGTAATAAATATATCAAAAAGACGCATACACTCATAAGTTTATAGCAGCACTATTCACAATAGCAAAGTCATGGAATCAACCTAATTTTGCATCAGTGGATGACTGGATATAAAGAACGTGACATACATATATATATATATATATATATATATATATATATATGTCGCATTCTTGTTAGATATATATATATAAATACACACACATACACACACACACACCTATATACACACACATTATATATATATACACACACTTTATATATATACTTTATATATATACACACACACATCATATATACACACACATTATATATACACATTATATATATAAACGTTATATATAAATGCCATATATATATATATATATGCCATGAAACCCTATGCAACCATAAAAAAGAATGAATTCATGTCTTTCACAGCAACATGGATGAAGACTATTATCCCGAGTGAAATAACTCAGAAAAAGAAAATCAAAGATCGTAAGTGGAAGCTAAATAATGGGTACACATGGACATACAGAGGGAAATAATAGACACTAGGGACTCTAAACGGGGGAGGATGTAAGGGGAGTGAGCACTGAAAAATTACCTGTTGAGTACAGTCTTCACTATTTGGGTGATGGGTACACTAGGAGCCCAAACCAAACCACTACACAATATATCCATGCAACAAACATGCACAGTTAACCTCTGAATCTATTTTTAAACTATCATCTAAATGGGTGGATTTATCAATAAAAATTTTAATTTTTATTTCATATATTAATCTGTATGTAATATAAAATATATGCAGCATATATAAACCTATCTATCTATATGTATAGTGTGTGTGTGTGCATATATCTTCTAGATTTATTTACCTCAAAACATATTTACCAAAGTGGAGAGCATGCTTTATTGCTGTTGTTCATTTTTCATTTATCAAGAATCACAGGTTATGTTGTGTTAAAATCAATGACATCTTCCGGCACATTCATTTAAGTTTCGCTGTGTGGCCAGAGTTCTGCCACACTATCAGGGATTCAAACATGAATAAAACCAACCCTCCTTCCCAAGTTATACAATCTGCAAGAATACAGTCAAACATTGCAGCTAACCCTTTGTATATATTCTTATTCTGAATTATTAAAATTCTGACATCTTGGCCGGGCGCGGTGGCTCACGCCTGTAATCCCAGCACTTTGAGAGGCCAAGGCGGGTGGATCACAAGGTCAGGAGATCGAGACCATACCGGCTAACACGGTGAAACCCTGTCTCTACTAAAAATGTAAAAAAAAAAATTAGCCGGGCGTGGTGGCGGGTGCCTGTAGTCCCAGTTACTTGGGAGGCTGAAGCAGGAGAATGGCGTGAACCCGGGAGGCGGAGCTTGCAGTGAGCCAAGATCACGCCACTGCACTCCAGCGTAGGCGACAGAGTGAGACTCCGTCTAAATAAATAAATAAATAAATAAATAAATAAATAAATAAAAATTCTGACATCTCATGTTAGTTAAAGGGTACAAAGTTTTAGTTACATAGGACACCTAAGTTCTGGAGAACTATTGAACAGTAAGGTGACAGTAGTTAATAATGCTACTTTGCACACTTTAATCTTCCAAGAGAGTATACTTAAATGTGCTTACCACACACAAAAACTATAACTATGTGAGGAGATGGACATAATAATTAGCTTGATTGCAGTAATCAGTTTAATATGCATATGGTATGAAAACATCATGCCGTCCACCTTAGGTATATATAATAAAATTTTAAAAATAAATAAAATAAATAGAATTCTTACGTACAACGAGGGGACATTTTGAAAATTTTTAAAATCAAAGCAAACAAAACTATATTTTACACTATCTGTATTTACCTCAATCACCAATTAAAATATTCGTTACATATTACATGCTTATTTCTGTCAGTGCGTTTGAAGAAAAGGGTGCAACTGAGTCTCTGTCCTCAAAGATTTAAAATTTTAGCTTGAAATACATGTTATGTCTTATGACAAAGAACATGTGACCTTGTATGTCCATAGTTATAACACAGAGTCTAAATCAGAAGTTTATTACCCAGTATAATTTAGTTATAATCTTACATCATGCCTCCAGCCTTTCACTTAATTTCTAAAATTAATGGCAAATGACCTGACACTAGTTGTATTTAAACTGACAGGATCTCAACTTCTACTTGTTAAAGAAGATAAATCCAACATATCAAACAAGAATAAAACAGAACTATTTCTTATTAATATATTTATCTATCAAAATTAGTCATAATAAAGAGAAATGTTTTAATTCTAAATATAACTCTGAAATGTAGGAATTGTTCACTTTTGGTTCATTTTCTTCTCAGACACAGTAAAGACTGGTAATTTCTGTCCACTATTCAGCTAGTCTCAAGACTGTCAAAATCTACTTGAATGCTTAAGAGTGTTTCTATGTATATTAAAAAAATAAAAATTAGTATAACAACTACTATTTTAATCATTTAACTTTTTTCTGTTAGTATCTAAAAATAACTTTTGTGTTTTATTATTTTACCATTTATTACATAGATTATTCAGATTGTTTACCCAAATGAACATTATTTTTCTACTTTAAAAACATTATTTGAGAGAGAAGATAAAGGGCATTTAAAAATTACAAAGAAAACCTATTTTTACACATCGGCTAGGTGTCGAGCATAGTTGGAAATCTATGCAAATAAAATGAAAGGAACAAAATCTGGAACATATATCTAATTAAATTGTGAAAAAAATACTTAATCTGCTAATATTTCTGAGTACTTTGACTTTAATCATTCTCAGTGGCTTTGTGAAGTTGGCTAATAGTTACTCTAGATTATCTGTTAAGGTTCAATTCTATTGGTTTTCTATGGGGGCATTGTCATGGAAACCTCTGCATGGATTTACCAACTTTTTATTCTGTGAAAATGGTGTCCCAGAGAAGGTGAGAAATAGATTTACCCTTGACAGCTCATTAAACAGGTAACTTTTAGGTGAGGTGTGTCTTGGGATGTCTAAAGTAACAGTATTCTCTACTATTTCCAAGTGCTTGAAGCTTAATGGAAGAATAAAAATTGTTCCAAAATACTCATCTGCTAGATGATACTTACTGCATAAAGATTACTACTAATCTAAAAATGCAGTCTTCTTGGATTTTACATTTATTCTATAATGAAAAGCTAGATAAACACTGGGTCTGAGGTTAATGCAGAATCTAAATCATGTTTCTGTTACTCCTTAGATAATTTAATTTAAAATGCTGAATGCAGTGAATCAAATGATAATGTAGACTCAACAAAGATTCATAATATCAAGAGTGAGTTAAACTAGGTAAAATGTTAAGGAAATTTAATTCTTTTGGAAACTGATCTCTTAATTTGACTTCTTGAAAGTTACTTCCTCTCTTTGGGTCTTGCTTTACTCATTATGAAGTAGGGAGCATTGATTGAGACAAACTCTAAGACTGGCTCCAGCTCTACTAGCTATAATTTTATATGACTTTTAGAAGAAATAGTCCCATATTATATTTCTAACCCTTAAAATGAACC
This sequence comes from Homo sapiens, assembly GCF_000001405.40. Lineage (NCBI taxonomy): Eukaryota > Metazoa > Chordata > Mammalia > Primates > Hominidae > Homo > Homo sapiens. Next base: position 27,577,973 of record NC_000005.10, read on the forward strand.
TTCTTTAAACAGCAATTTAATAAAAACACTGTAAATCTGCTCTAAAATAATAATCCATATGTCTGTAAAATGCAAAGTTTTTAGATGTTTTAAGCTGGCTTATTAAAGTGCTGAAATGTCACACAGGTCTTTGTTAAAGTGTTACAGAAAAATTATTGAGGATATCTGATTAGCTTTGTAGATAGCTATATCTTCAGAAAGGTTTATTAGAAATTTTTAAATAAAGTAAAATATTGAAGGGAGAAAATGATTTAATTCTAAGCTCATTCTGAGAAGAAATTTCTCATTTTGAATTTTTATAATTTATTAATGTTAAGTCAGAGAAAATAGCTCAGAGGGCTTAAAGCATAAAGTACTACATATAAAATATGTCTCAGGTAAGGTGAAATAATTAGTAATATATTTATAACAGTTTATATGTGACTGTTATAAATTCAGTATACAATCATGTATTTTGTATTATATTTAAAATTATTTTTAAAACAAGTAGAAAATGCTGATATAACACTTTTTCTTTGAGATATTTAAAAAGTTATACAATCCAAATACAAATAAATTTAAAATATAAAACTGCAAACATAATGCTAAATTATTCTTGGTAATGTTATTACCAAGAAAGGAAACACATTTTCTTAAGATTATTGTACATTTTATTACACATATATTTTCTTCATAGCTGGATGGGGCAATATAATGTAGATGCAAAAAGATGCAAAAATGAAATGCTTAATAAATAATTACAGAACGATTAACCATTTCTTCTCTACCTAGATCAATAAATAGAAAACTTTAGTCTCCTACATAGGCTTCTTTGTCCTGTTTCCTTCCCCACTAGAATTGACTAAAATCTTGATTTTGTACAGTCATTATGTTGTTAATTTTTTTACTGATTTTCAATTATATAAACATATAGTTTAATTTTCTATGTAGGCCATGCTATTGCTTATCATGCACCCCAACAGTACAAAAAAATTAGTGGTTTTCATTATGCAGCATTTGAAAGGCATTTTAATGCTATTTGCATGGTATTTTTTTTTCTCTATAAATAGACTATACTTCCAGAATTCAGTAGAAAAACCCGTTTGGACACACTGAAATATTGCATTAATTTTAAGTGAAAGTTTAGTTATAGAGAGATATATATATATATATATATATATATATACTAAGATATAAAGTTATATACTAAGTAGCAAAACCTAGCATTTTTTCAGGTAAGTTAAGATTCATACTAAAATATAGTGATTTATGAAAAAGAATAACTGAATCTATTAAATTATGTAATGATTAAACTTTTATGAAATGCATGCAGTGAAACGACATGTAGCAATACATATGGGTTCACAAAATAAACAAAATAAAATAAATTGCCAAAAATCTTTCTGCAGGTAGTTACCATAAAGTTATTTTAGTAAAGGAAGCCTAAGAAACTAAAAATCCTAAAATTTTAAAAAAAGTCTAATCTCATAATTGTAAATCTATTCGATCAAATATCAGTATATTTTATAATAAACAGGGAAATAATTAAATGCAACAGAAAATAATTTTAAATATTATCAACGTATAGGCCGACAATTTATTCTTGTAAATGTATCTTAACATATCAGTCTCATTTTCTCATTCCTTCAAAAGCTATCATCACTGTTGTAATCTAATAGAATCTCCTCATGACACAGCTATCTTTACTAAAACCACAAATGCACTAATCATCTCCCCAAAAGATGAAACGAAGTCCCATAGGTCAACTTATTCTTTTTAAAATAATGTTTATTCTGCTTATAGCAGAGTCACACTCATCACCTTTGTATTACTGACATGTGAATAAAAAGTAATTACTATAAACAAAACTGATGCTAGATGGTAAGAGTATGGGTGAGGAGAAACAAGTGGAAAGTACTAGTTGTATTTATAAATACACCCACATTAAAATAAGGCAGAAAACCGTATAAATAGGAAAGTCCTCATTTCTTCAATTGGCCAGAAAATCACAGCTCTTATGATTTTTATTATCGTAACTGTTCATTCTTTATTCTCTTTGTTCTAAAATGCCACTTCTGTTGGTCGTGGTTCCTTGTCTAACTGGGTGACCTCAATATTCCTTCCTGATGAGTTTTGGTTATTAGCAAAACTGTCTATTGGGGTAGATTTACATTTAAAATTATAACATTGGAATACAATTAATAAACCCAGGGGATTGCCTGCATTCCACATAAGTTTTTTCTTATACCTGAGAGGTAGTAAGAATATAGTCATTCCCCATTTTGGGAGGGCAAGGCGGATGCATAACCTGAGGTCAGGGGTTTGAGATCAGTCTGGCCAACATGGCGAAACTCTCCTACTAAAAATACAAAAATTAGCCAGGCGTGGTGGCGGGCCCTTGTAATCCCAGGTACTTGGGAGGCTGAGGCAAGAGAATCGCTTGAACCGGGGAGGCAGAGGCTGCAGTGAGCCGAGATCGAGATCACGCCATTGCACTTCAGCATGGGCGACAGAGCGAGACTCTATCTCAAAAAAAAAAAAAAAAAAAAAAAAAGAATATAAACTGTCCCTTCGCTAACCTCACTTGTTATACTTTC